>NC_000004.12:112406229-112557744 GCF_000001405.40 Homo sapiens | reverse complement strand
AATGTCTCCCTCCAGGACAAAGAGCAGGCTTGCTTATTACTTGTTATAAGATAATGGATCCCCAGCCTCAGTGTTCTTGCCCTACTCCTCAACCCACGGCATGTGCAGGCATCTACCTGGATGCTCTTTGTCTCCTCATGTGACTTGGGAACCAAGGGAAACCAATGCAGATATGTTGACGATTATACTGCTTCCTGTGCCATAAGTAAAAGTCCTTTGTCTCTGATCTAGAAGTCTTGGGTCTGTTACGTTAGAAGTAGGTTAAAATCAGGCTGGGCATGGTGGCTCATGCCTGTAATCCCAGTGCTTTGGGAGGCCAATGCAGGCAGATCACTTGATGTCAGAAGTTCAACACCAGCTTGGCCAACATGGTGAAACCCCGTCTTTACTAAAAATACAAAAAAACTTAGCCTGGCTTGGTGCCAGGTGCCTGCAATCCCAGCTACTCAGGAGGCTGAGGCAGGAGAATTGCTTGAACTCAGGAGGCAGAGGCTGCAGTGAGCTGAGACTGCACCACTGCACTCCAGCATGGGTGACAGAGGGAGAATCTGTCTCAAAAAAAAAAAAAAGAAGAAGAAGTAGGCTAAAATCAAATTCCAGAATCAGTAGTTATAGATTAGTCTCTTGTTCATCTGCCTATATGAATACATAATAGTAAAATGGCTGAACAAATTTAAGTACATTATGTTTTTTATTTCAATAAGAGGAATGCAAAGAAGACAATCTGTTTTTAAGATAATTTTTGTGATTGCATAAGACTATTAAAAATGCAAAGAAGTATTACAGTATTTCACCAGTGTTCTGATGTTTAATGATCTGAATTTCAACATAAATGGCAAAGTTTGATTAGGAGAAACAGTCATTATTTCTAAGCGTAAGCTTTTTAAAAATTAATTTTTATAATTATATAAGTTAATACTTATGGTAGAATATATGCAGACTACACAGATGTTTTATTATATTTATTTACAGATTTTTAAATATACATGCACACATTTTGTTTTCCAAATTTGAGATTCAGTAGTATGTGTTGTTTGTGTCCTGCTTTTCTTACTTAAAAGGTTGGCTCATGCCTGTATTCCCAGCACTTTGGGAGGCTGAGGTGGGCAGATCACTTGAGGCCAGGAGTTCAAGACTAGCCTGGCCAACAAACATGGCAAATCCCCGTCTCTACCAAAAATATAAAAATTAGCTGGGAATGGTGACATATGCCTGTAATTCCAGCTACTTGGGCAGCTGAGGCACAAGAATCACTGGAACCCAGGAGTGGAGGTTGCATTGTGCCAAGATCATACCACTGCACTCTAGCCTGGGTGACAAAGTGAGACTCTGTCTCAAAAAAAAACTTAGAAAATGTAATTTTTTATAACTCTATTATATTCAATGATTTTCTTATACCATACATTAAGCAATTTTTGATCAGTAAATTATTTCCAAATTCTTGCCAGTATGAATTATATTATGACAAAGATCCTTAAACATAAAACTCTGTATCCATTTCTGATTCTTTCCTTAGGAAAATAATCCTAAGTCTAGAATAAAAAATATGAAAACTTTTAAGCTTCTAAATATACTTTTCAAATTTCCCTTCAGAAAGATTCTTCCAGTACACACTCTTATAAGCAATTTAAAAGAGTGGCTGAGGACAACGTTGTTTTTTGTTTTTGTTTTTTTTTTAAATTAAAGACAATGAGGAGTTACCTGGAGACTACACAGGAAGGAACTTTAGATTGCTTAGCCCAAAGTGAAAATTTAACTGTAGACTGTTAGAAAACAAAACAATATTAAAAAACAAAAGAAAACAAAAAAACGAGAAGTTAGAATGAGGAGGGAGGGTAAGTACTCAATACTAAAAGTTAACAGGAAACTTATAAAAGAGATTCTTTAATGCTTAAATCTCTGAGAAGAACCTGAGAAATGTGAATCTCTAATTAGGATCTGTGCCTCAATTGCTTATAGTCTGGTTTCGTACATTTCTTCACACTGAAATAACCTTCTCATTGTGTGCTTGAACAGACAATGTTTTCCTATTGATTAATGGATAGAACAGTTTCTTGAGAAGAAATGAAAGAGCATGGGGTGAATAGTACTTTGAGGAGACTGCGTCCCTTATTATTATAGATTTAACCAAACTTGCATTGGAAAAAAAATTGTAAACTAGTATTTCAGCCTGTTAAGTTGCTATTATTCTTCAGGGTGAAGACTGTGAAAAATGTGAAAATCGAAATCTTTTCATGTATTGACACTAGTTTGTTTCATAATTATTTTGGAAAATTGTTTTTAGAGATCTATAGTTTAGTTCTCCAGCTCTTTAAATTCCCATTTTGAGGTGGTAGAAGTTTTAGAGGGTTGAGTATTCACTGAGTTCCACCTGTGTTCCCAGCATAGTGCTAGAGCTGTAAGATATATAAAAGGGAAGTGTAGGTGAGGGGTCCTTCCTCACAAAGCCCTAACTGGGGGATAATGTATGTAGAGGAAAGGTCATAACCTTTGGATGTAGACAGAGTTGCTTGGGCTTGAATCATGATACCTCACCTCTGAGCTTGTGTCCTCATCTCTAAGAGTAGATATCATCTGGAGCTGTAGTGAGTGTTAAACAGTATAACATATGTAAAGAGGCTCTTCCTAACAAATCTTGGTGCTAAGTATATGATAGCTATTGCTTTCTATATTATGTCTTTAGAGGCAATTTTATTTGTGGTAAATACTAACATTGGCATTTTATGAACATTTAGTGAGCCTTCAAGATGGAATAATGCGTATTTTAAAATTCTCTAGAAAATGCATTATATTTAAAAAACCAACTACTTGCATTTACTTTGTTTGAGTTTAGGTATTTCACATTAAATTTTATAATTAAAATATACTGTTACACAAAATTAGTTGTAGTAACAGTTATTATATGAAACTTTATATTCTGTTTCCTAAATAATCAGAATCTATATTGTTTTCTTATTTAAAGGCTTCTCAGTCTTGGATTTGAAAACTTTATCAGAGTTGGGAGTGTTAGGAAGATTGCCAAACCAATTTTACCTTATAGGTAAGAATGCAAAATTCCAGAAGTCACAGAATGGTCAGAGGGAAGTATGGTACTTTTATATCACTCTTACCTTAAGTTTGATTTTTGAAGAATGGAGAAAGGCTTATCTTTACTTGGTTAACTTAGAAAATCTGTATTTTGCTGAGAATGATGGTTTCCAGCTTCATCCATGTCCCTACAAAGGACATGAACTCATCATTTTTTGTGGCTGCATAGTATTCCATGGTGTATATGTGCCACATTTTCTTAATCCAGTCTGTCATTGTTGGGCATTTGGCTTGGTTCCAAGTCTTTGCTATTGTGAATACTGCCGCAATAAACATACGTGTGCATGATTTATAATCCTTTGGGTATATACCCAGTAATGGGATCAGCAAACTGTCGAAAGGACAAAAAACCAAACACCACATGTTCTCACTCATAGGTGGGAATTGAACAATGAGAACACATGGACACAGGAAGGGGAACATCACACACTGGGGCGTGTTGTGGGTGGGGGGAGGGGGGAGGGATAGCATTAGGAGATATACCTAATGTTAAATGACGAGTTAATGGGTGCAGCACACCAACATGGCACATGTATACATATGTAACAAACCTGCACATTGTGCACATGTACCCTAAAACTTAAAGTATAATAAAAAAAAGAAAATCTATATTTTGCTTTACTGTGATGTTATGAAAAATGGAATAAAGAGGAGTGTTTTAATATAATTCTTTAGCTTGCATGCTGGCTCAGAAAATGAAAGTGAACAGTTAAAAGAACTACATGCACTAATGAAAGAAGACCTGACTCCTACGGAAAGAGTCTATGTGAGAAAAAGCATTGAGCAGCATAAACTGGGGACCAATAGAACCCTGCTGAAGCAGGTAAGAAGTAGTAGCTTCAATTTGTTTCTTGATTTATATATACCATTCAGATTCTCTTATTTCTGTTGATGAAATAATATTTCCTTTAAATAAAACAAACTGCTATGATAGTTTATATTCTACTAAGGTGCATGCATGTGGATCCTTGGATATAGTCTACCCAGTGTATGTTTTATGTTTGCTTCAAAGCATTCTTCAAATTCGTGAATAGATCCAACTCACCATGACCGAGTCATCCTTTCTCCTTCTCCCTGTTTACTTTCTTTTTATAGGCTTGAAGAGGAAAGTATAGAGGTGGGAATAGATTCCTTACAAGTTAAATGAAATTAGTTGTATTCTAGGAGAAACAGTGATGGAGAGGATCTGACCCTGAGTAAAATATCCAAATGAAATTTGTGTTTGATGCTCTCCAAGAAAGCCAAGACTTTTAGTGTTTGTATATATCCAAGAATCCAGGAGGCTCAGACGCTAGCTTCCAGGTATTGGAAGCCAAGACTAAGCACACAAGATTCCAGGCTGTAACAGGTAGCACTATCTCCTTTATCAAGTTTTGATCTAGGGAAGCCTGGGCATCAGCTGTTGGAAGAGAAAAAATCAATCAGCAGCTTCCTCCTATGAAAGGAGAGCATGGGGAAAAGCAATGGGGATGGAGTAAAAGAAAGTTGTTGGCTTCTTGGGCCACTTGCACATTGGTAACTTTCTGCTAGAGAGTTGAGAAAATGAGTCTACTTGGGACACTGTATTGATCAGCTATTGCTGAAATAATGAGGGTTAACAAACTCAGTCTCAGTACTTTAAGACAACAGCTTATGACTCTACAGGTCAAGTGGTGTGGCTTGGCTTGAGGCTATGGGTAAAGTCTCTTATTCTGAGAACAGTTGCTATGGCATGATCTTCTAACAGATGGCAGAAGTGCAAGAGGGCAGGACAGATCACAGAAACACATTTAAAGCTTCAGTTCATATTATGTTTGCTGACATTCCATTTGCACAGGTCACACGGCCAAGCCTAACATCAGTGAGGCAGGGAAATATACTCCCCTACTTCTCTGGTGGGAAGCACTGCCAAGTAACATGGCAAAGGGTGTGGATATGTAATAATACTTTCCTAGGGCGGGAAGGAGAAACTGAAAATAATAACCAATCTATAACAAGTTTTGGTTCTGGAAGTCCTCAGAAAACTTCAGACTAACTTTCTGTTATTTGAATTATAGAGTTAACTCTATACTCTCTTCTTAACCAAATCCAGAAAGGCTTAGTTTGGCTGTGTTCAATTAATACAAATTAGTCATTTATGTAAACTACTTATCATTTTACTCACCCAACGTAACAATGATATATAAGAATCATTATTCATATATATCATTGTTAATGATTTCTTGGATGATTTTCTGAATGAAAGCCCAGTTACTATGATCTATTGCTCATTTGTATCACCTATTCACAAATGAAAACTATTTTAGAGGAATTATTTTTTAGAAATTTTCTCTGACATATTTCTAAGGTCCAGCCAGGCATTCGGACCTGACACATTTCTTTCTTTCTTTTTTTTTTTTTTTGAGCCAGAGTCTCGCTCTGTCACCCAGGCTGGAGTGCAGTGGCGCAGTCTCAGCTCACTGCAACCTCCACCTCTTGGTTCAAGCAATTCTCCTGCCTCAGCATCCTGAGTAGCTGGGACTACAGGCACATTCCACCGCACCCGGCTAATTTTTGTATTTTTAGTAGAGACAGGGTTTCACAGTGTTGGCCAGGCTGGTCTCAAACTCCTGACCTTAAGTGATCCTCCCACCTCTGCCTCCCAAAGTGCTGGGATTACAGGCATGAGCCACCGCGCCCGGAAGACCTGACTCATTTCTAAAGTGGCATGTCTTCACAATAAAACTAATTTTTAAAAATGCTTCATAGTTAATTAATACTTGCTAGGTCAGTAACAAAATCTTTTCTGCTGTTAGAATCTCAGCAACATAATAATAAATAAAAAGATAACATAATTTTTTAAAGAAAACTTAATACTTTAGGTTTTTGTATTAGATATTTCTTTAAATTTAAAAAATGCTTCTTGACACATAACTTTAGAGTTCTCATTCTAAGATTGTTTTGTAGATATAGTTGCCAGAAATTAAATAAAATGAATAATATTTCAGAGTGGCACCAAAGCTTGATCATTTTTAAAGAACTCAATATTTAAATACTGTGGAATTTCTGATATAAATGTGGCTTTAAGATTTTTGTTTTTGTTTTTAACAAAAGAAGAAAACCTAACTGATACAGGGCTATTGTGTGTGGTGAATATTATTTATTATTAAAATAAGGCAGTTGTAATGTTTTCTTATTTTGTAGGATCTGTGGAGGCAGTATTTAATTTGTAAAGCATATTTTTTGTTAGTTTGTTGAAAAAAGGTATGGTCAGTTGGTATGAACTGCCCTTGCTATCAAGAAGTGTAATTTTATAGATCTTCAGATTGTTAGAAGAGAATAAGTACAGTCATATATCATTCTGAGAAATGTATTGTTTTACAATTTTGTCATTGTGTGAACGTCATAGTGTACTTACACAAACCTAGATGGTATAGCCTACTACACACTAGGCTACATAGTATAGCCTATTGCTCCTCAGCTACAAATCTATACAGCATGTACTGAATACTGTAGGCATTTAATTGTAACATGGTGGTATTTCTGTATCTAAACAGAAAATGTACTGTGAAAATATGGTATAAAATATTTAAAATGGTACACCTGTATAGGGAGGGAGGGAAGGAGAAATTGGAAATAATAACCACAAAGTTTTGGTTGTAGAAGTCCTCAGAAAACTATATATACTATAGCTTTTTAATAGTTAACTTTATAGTTAACTGACCATGAATGGAGCTTGCAGGACTGGAAGTCACTGTGGCTGAGTCAGTGAGTGGGTGGTGAGTGAATGTGGAAGCCTAGGACATTACTGTACACTACTGTAGACTTCTAAAAAAATTTTTAATTTTTTTGAGATAGAATCTTGCTCTGTCCAGGCTGGAGTGCAGTTTGTGATCTCAGCTCACTGCAACCTCTGCTTCCTGGGTTCAAGCGATTCTTCTGCCTCATCCTCCCGAGTAGCTGAGATTACAGACTCCTGCCACTACGCCTGGCTAAGTTTTGTATTTTTATTAGAGATGGGGTTTCACCACGTTGGCCAGGCTGGTCTCAAACTCCTGACCTTAAGCGATCCGCCTGCTTCAGCCTCCCAAAGTGCTGGGATTACAGGCGTGAGCCACCGCGCCCGGCCTACTGTAGACTTTATAAACGCTGTACAGTTAGGCTACCCCAAATTTATTTTAAAATTTTTTCTTTCTTCAATAATAAATTAACTTTAGCTTATTATAACATTTTGACTTTATAAAGTTGAAAATTTTTAAAAACTGTTTGATTCTTTTGTAATAACACAGCTTAAAACACAAACATTTTGTATATACAAAAATATTTCATAAGCTTTTTTATTTAAAATTTTTCTTTTTTTACCTTTAAAACTTTTTTTTTTAATTGTTGAAAACTAAGATACAAACACATTATTCTAAGCTTACTCAGGGTCAGGATCATCAATATAGCACTGTCTTCCACCTCTACATCTTGTCCCACTAGAAAGTTTTTTTTGTTGTTTTTTTTTTGAGATGGAGTCTCGCTCTGTCGCCCAGGCTGGAGTGCAGTGGCGCGATCTTGGCTCACTGCAAGCTCTGCCTCCCGGGTTCACGCCATTCTCCTGCCTCAGCCTCCCAAGTAGCTGGGACTACAGGCACCGCCACCACGCCCGGCTAATTTTTTTGTATGTTTAGTAGAGACGGGGTTTCACCATGTTAGCCAGGATGGTCTCGATCTCCTGACCTCGTGATCTGCCCGCCTCAGCCTCCCAAAGTGCTGGGATTACAGGCTTGAGCCACTGCGCCCAGCCTTGTCCCACTGGAAAATTTTTAGGGGCACTAGGACACATGGGGCTGTCAGCGCTTATGATAACAATACCTTCTTATGGATACCTCCTGAAAGGCGTCCCTGAAACTGTTTTATAGCCAACTTTTTTTTTTTTAAGAAGTAGGAGTACATTCTAAAATAATATTAAAAGTATACTATAGTAAATGTATAAACCGCTAAAATGGTCATTTATTATCAAGTATTATGAACTGTACGTAACTGTATGTGCTATACTTTTATATGACTGGCAGTACAGTAGGTTTGTTTACACCGGTATCACCACAAATACATGAATAAATGCATTGTGCTGTGAGGGTTGTGATGTCACTAAGGGCTGGGAATTTTTCAGCTCCATTATAATTTTATGAGACCATCATCATACATCTGGTCCATCATTGACCAAAACATCACATTGTTATGTGGCACATGACTGTATATGTATATGTACATGTATGTGTATGTGTTTGTGTTTATACACACGTATGTATATGTACACAAATGTGTGTGTACGTGTGTATATGTGTATGTACACATGTGTGTATAGATAGCGGGCTACTAGGTCAGTGACTACATCTAATTAGAAAATTCATAGATTTCCCTATTGTTTACATCTAATTCTAGAGATTAAAAATCAGTTTTTATGAAGCTTTTTGCCTTGAGAGTAATGGCATGCTGCTATAATGTGTAACTTACAAGATTCAAATACACTTACAGGCTATGAGTACATTTTATTTACTGTTGTTTAGAATTAGTCATCTTTACATTTTTTTTTTTTTTTTTGAGACGGAGTCTCGCTCTGTCGCCCAGGCTGGAGTGCAGTGGCGCAATCTCGGCTCACTGCAAGCTCCGCCTCCCGGGTTCACGCCATTCTCCTGCCTCAGCCTCCCAAGTAGCTGGGACTACAGGCGCCCGCCACTACGCCCGGCTAATTTTTTGTATTTTTAGTAGAGACGGGGTTTCACCGTTTTAGCCGGGATGGTCTCGATCTCCTGACCTCGTGATCCGCCCGCCTCGGCCTCCCAAAGTGCTGGGATTACAGGCGTGAGCCACCGCGCCCGGCCATCTTTACATTTTTAAATAAATAAAACTAATGTGCTTGAAGGTTAAGCAAAGAATATTTCGTTAGCATATTTAATATTCTTTGTGAAGAACTTTGGCCTGTGTTGATATAATGTATGTTGTCTAACCTCATCTAGAAGATAAAATATGTGCGTCATCCTAGATGTTTAACAAATGCTTGATATTGTGATACTTTCCGTCTGAATATCAAAATATGTCTTTTATTTGTTCTTGTTAATGGGCTTGTGGCTTAAGTAACTTACATTTGTTGATTTCCATTTTGTATGTAGGAATAATAAAAATTTGGAGATACGATGACCTAAGATTTCTGATGGCTAGGAATTAAATTAGGACTAGCTCACTCTCTAATTTTAGCCTACAAGTTCTTTGGTAAATACGTTCTCTTATTTTCTTTTAATAATTGTTAATTAATAACATTTTTGTTGTAATAAAGGTTCGAGTAGTTGGAGTTACCTGTGCAGCCTGCCCATTCCCATGCATGAATGATCTTAAATTTCCTGTAGTTGTGCTGGATGAGTGTAGTCAGATAACTGAACCGGCCTCTCTCCTTCCCATTGCAAGGTAACCTAAAAGATTCTTTCCCCAGGGGTAATACCTGTAATCCTAGCACTTTAGGAGGCTGAGGCAGGTGGATTGCTTGAGTCTAGGAGTTTGCGACCAGCTTGGACAACATGGCGAATCCCCATTTCTACAAAAAATACAAAATTAGCTGGGCATGGTAGTGTGTGCCTAAAATCCCAGCAACTTGGGAGGCTGAGGTGGGAGGATTGTTTGAGCCCAGGAGGTCAAGGCTGCAGTGAGCAGGGATTGAACGACTGCACTCCAGCCTGGATGACACAGAGTAAAACCCCGTCTCAAAAAAAAGAAAAAAAGAAAAAGAATAATAATACTGAAGCATGAAAGGATTAAATAACTTGCTGGGTCTCTAAAATATAATGGAGTTCAGATTTGATATAGGTTTGTTTATAAAACTTTGATTTTTCCCCACTATATCCTACTCCTATTTAGGAAAACATTTAGCCCCTAAGAACCCAATTTACTTCACTTCTAAAACAAGGGTTTAAGCTAAATGACTCCTAAGAAAGACTTTAATTTTAAGAGTTTATGGATTCTAAAAACCAGCATTTCCCAAATATGCTTTGTGAAATATTAATTCCATGCAGAGGCAAGGGGCACCTACTAGGTTTTATGTGCAGGGAGGGCAACTAAATTATATAAAGGATTCTTTATTGCATAACTTTTCAAAGCCTTTAATGCGCTTAATAGCACTACTAAGCTTTATTAGTACTCAGGATACTTCATGGCATTTGAATATTTCGAAGTGCAATTTTGGCAAACAGTGCAATAAATGATGTTAATGCACCCATTTTAATTGCTTAGATTAATTTTTGAAATTCTGTTTTAGGTTTGAGTGTGAAAAGCTGATTCTTGTTGGGGATCCCAAACAGCTACCTCCTACTATTCAGGGTTCTGATGCAGCTCATGAAAATGGATTGGAACAAACTCTTTTTGATCGACTTTGCTTAATGGTACATACTGCTGAATTCTTACGGAATTATCATTTATTGATTCTACATTGTGTGTGTGTGTGTTGATAGAGAATGAAAATATTAGAAGACTTAGTCCTGCCTTAAAATAATGTATAATTGGAGTTGTCTGGAAAGTAAGTATTCATCTTAAAGACAAGTGGAACCCTATAATTTAAGTGCCCTTTTATAAAAAGAATTTTTTCACTATTTGAGTAGTGGGTAGGAGTATATAACTTTTGCTCTAAAACCAAAAAAACCTATAATGTCTCTATTATCTACCTAGAGCACTACTTCACATTGTAAATAATTTTTAAATTATTAACATTTTTTAATTGGGGTTGAATTTACTGTCTTAGTCTATTTTGTGCTGGTATAACAGAAAAACCTGAGACTGGGTAATTTATAGAGAACAGAGATTTATTTCTTATAGTTCTGGAGGCTGAGAAGTCTAAGACCTGGGGACCTGCATTTGGCAGGGGCCTTCTTGCTTCGTTGTCATCCTGTGGTGGAAGGCAGAAGAGCAAGAGAGTGTGAGAGGCCAAACTCATCCTTTTATGAGTAAGCCACTCATGTGATAATGGCATTCATCCATTAACCCACACACATATACCAGGAATGGCATTAATCCATTCACAAATCCATCCTTTTATGAGGAACCCACTCATGTGATAATGGGATTAATCCGTGAGGATTAGGCAGAATCCTCATGACCTAAATCACCTTTTGAAAGTCCCACCTCTCAACACTGTTGCATTGGGGATGAAGTTTCCAACACATGAAATTTGAGGGACACATTCAAACCATTGCATTCATCTAACATAAAACCATTTTTTAAATTTCTTAAAAAAAACTTTTTTTTCTTTACAGCATGCAGTTTATATAGCAGAAACTATTTTAAAGTGAACAGTTTAGTAGCATTTAGTACATTCACAGTTTCTTGTGTAACCACTACCTCTGTCTGGTTTCAAAATGTTTTCATCACTTCAAGATAAAATTCTTACCCATTTAGCAGTTAACTGCCCATTTCCTCTTCCCTATAGCTTCTGGCAAACACCAGCCTGCTTTCTCTCTGTATGGATTTATTTATTCCGGATATTTTATATAAATGGAATCATACAATATGTACCTTTTGTGTCTGTCTTCTTTCACTTTTTGAGGTTCATTCATGTTGCAGCATGTATTGGTACTACATTATTATTATTATTATTATTACTTTAAAGTACATTCATAATGTTGTACAACCATCACTTGTCCATTTCCAGAATTTTTTCATTATCCCAAACAGAAATTTTGAACTGTTAAGCAATAATTTCCCATTTCCTCTTCCCTCAGCCCCTAGTAAGTAACCTGTGTTCTACTTTCTAGCTCTGTGAATTTGCCTATTCTAGGTGCCTCATTTGAGTAGAGTCATACAGTATTTGTCATTTTATGTCTGTCTTATTTACTTAGCATAATGTGTTTAGAGTTCATCCTTGTAGCATGTATCAGAATTTCATTTCTTTATAAGGCTAAATAATATTCCATTGCATGTGTGTACTACATTTCTGTTGATAGATAGTTGGGTTGTTTTCACGTTTTGGCTCTTGTGAAAAATCTCCTGTGAACATTGATATACAGATACTTGTTCAAATCCCTGCTTTCAGTTCAATACATACCCAGAAGTATAATTGTTGAGTCATATGATAATTGTACATTTAAATTTTTGAGGAACCACCAAACTTTTTTCTATAGCAGCGGCGTCATTTTACTTTCCCAACAGCAGTGCACAAGTGTTCTGATTTCTCCACATTCTCACCAACACTTCTTGTTGGTTTTTGAATATCATAGCCATCCTAATGGGTGTGAAGGGGTATCTTATTGTGGTTTCCCTAAAGACTAATGATCTTGAACATCTTTTCATGTGCTTATTAGCCATTTATATTCTTTTTGAAGAAATGCCTATTCAACTCCTTTGCCTATTTTTTAATTGGGTTGTTTGGTTTTTTGTTGTTGAGTTATAGGAGGTTTTTTTTTTTAAATATATTCTGGAAATTAATCCTTTTTCAAATATATGATTTACAATTTTTTTTTCCATTTTGTTGGTTGTCTTTTCACTTTAATAGTGTTTTTTGATGCACAAAAGTTCTTAATTTCGATGAAGTTCAGTTTACCTATTTTTTATTCTGTTGCTTGTGCTTTTGGTGTTATAGGTATGAAATTATTGCCAAATCCAATGTCATGAAAATTTTCCCCAATATTTTCTTCTAAGAATTTTATAATTTTAGCTCTTATGTTGAGGTCTTTGATCCATTTTGAGTTAATTTTTGTACATGGTTTGAGATAAGGGTCCAACTTCATTCTTTTGCATGTGGATATATAGTTTTCCCAATACCATGTGTGGAAAAGACTATCCTTTTCTCCCATGTAATTGTCTTGGAACCCTCATCAAAAATCAGTTGAGCACATGTACAAGGGTTTATTTCTGGACTTTCTATTCTTTTCCATTGGTCATTGGCTTGTAGATGCTACCTTCTTGCTGTGTCCTCACATGGCAGAGAAAGAGAGAACACTGTTTCTATACAAACTATACAACTATATAAACACTATGTTTGTATAGTTGCCATTCTTGTTTCATTTTCTGGTGTTCATGCTTGAATGTCAGATACTCTCTCAGATCTGTATTCTCTGTTTTCTCCGTACCTGGAATTATGGTGGTGTCCCATCAAAGTGACAGGACATCTGAGGCCCAAGAGTATCCCTTCTCTGGGAAAGGGACACAGTTCTTGAGCCTTCAATTCTACTAAAAACTGTCAAGTTCACTTTCCCTTTTTCGTTATTCTTCTTAGGAACCGTTGCCATCATATGAATTCTGGCTCACTATGCTGCATTTTCTACTTCCACCCCAGAATCTTGTTTCTTTCTCAATGACAAGTACTTTTTTAAGTTTATGGCATTGGGTTGGCTGTAAATCTTTCTTTGTTGCATAATTGCTGAATTTTCTTTGCTGTTGTTTTTGTATTTATTGTACCTTTATATATTGGAGAATGGATTCTACAAGGCAGCTTTATTCTACCTTCTTAATTAAGAAGTTCCACCTTAGATTGAGTTTCAAGTTGCATTGAATTTTGAGTTGAATTGTATTCCGTTTTGCAAAGAACGAAGCTTTCAGTTGTCTTGAGCTGTTAATTGTAATTGAATTTAATTGCAAAACTTTCTACTTCTTCTATGACAAGTCAGTATCCAACCTCTTTTGTATTAGACATTTTCAATGGCTTTTTAAAAAAAATCTTAACTAAAAAAAAATTATCTTAAAAAAGGGCTGGGCATGGTGGCTCCAGCCTGTAAATCCCAGCACTTTGGGAGACTGAGGTGGGAGGATCACTTGAGGTCACGAGTTCAACACCAGCTCTGGCACCGGAGCTCTGACCCTGCCTCTACCAAAAAAATTTTTTAAATAAAAAGTTATCTAAATTCTTAAAACATTTTTGAATAGGTAATATAGTCATATGGTTCAAAATTCAAGCGGAACCAAAAAACGTGGAAATAGTGAAGACTTCTCCTCCTGTCCCCCAACCATTCGTTCTCTCCCCTTCAAAGAAACTGTCATTCCTTTCTTGTACCTTTCTTGTGATATTTTATGCCTGTAAGCAAATACATAACATTTTCCCTCCCTGTTTTAACAAATGGTAGTGTACTCTGCACACTGTTCTGCCCTTTTTCATGTACCTATTTTCAATGCCTTTTAAAATATGAAGTAGGTTTTTATTTGGGGGAATTCTAAAAGGGCAAATAAGGGATGGACAAAAAAGTGATTTAGTCGCAGAGTAGAATAAAAAACAATTATGAATGAGCTTGATCCATATAGATAGTTCTCAGAAACATAGTGGATATTGAAAGAAACAAAGCACAAAGGGATAATTATAGTAAAATGCCATTTACGAGAATTTCAAAAGCACATAATATATATTATTCATAGATTCATACTAATACAATAAACATATAAAAACATGTATGATGAGTCCACAAAACAAAATCAGGACTGGGGTTATTTCTGGGAAAGGCGGTAGAAGAAAGCAATGAAGGGGGATCTTTAGCTATATATGTCATATTTTATCTAACAAAAAAGAGAGCCAAAACAAAAATGACTTAATATGGCTAATGTCAAGTCTGGGTGGTAAGTTCATGGATATAATATTGTTTCTTTGCTTTCTGTATATTTGAACTAGTTCACAATTATTAAAAGTAAAAGAAATAAAAGTAATCACTACTCATTATAGAAAGTGTGGAAACTACAGAAAAGAGAAAAGGCAAGCTGGGTGTGATGGCTCATGCCTATAATCTATAATCTCAGCTGCTTGGGAGGCTGAGGTGGGAGGGTCATATGAATCCAGGAGTTCGAGGCTGCAGTGAGTTATGATCTCACCACTGCATTCCAGCCTGGGCAACAGAGCAGGATCCTGACTCTTTGAAACAAGAAAGAAAGAAAGAAAAAGAAAAGAAAAGAAAAAAGAAAGAAGGAAGGAAGGAAGGAAAGAAAGAAAAGGAAAGAAAAGAAAAAAATAGATAAAGTTGGGTGGGGTGTCAGGCACCTGTAGTCCCAGCTACTCAGGAAGCTGAGGCAGAAGGATCGTGTGAGCCCCAGGAGTTTGAGGCCAGCCTAAGCAACAGCGAGACCCTGTCTCAAAAAAGAAAGAAAAAAGGTAAAAACAAAACAAAAACATCTGTAATAACTTCACTGCCCTTAAGAGAAAACTCTTGGTAATATTTTAGTATTTTTCCTTCCATCTTTTATCCTAGGGTTATATGCCTATATCAAATGTATGTATTTGTACATAGTTGAAACCATACCGTAAATATAACTTCTCTCTTGCCTTTTTGAACTTTGCATACTAGTAAATCATCTCCCCTTGTTACTACTAGCTTTGTAATCATTACTGTTGTCATAAATATGTTGATCACTAAGTATTATGTTGTGCAGATATACCATAATTTAGTCATTTCTTTAACATTTGAGCGGCTCACTGCAACCTCTGCCTCCTGGGTTCAAGCGATTTTCCTGCCTCAGCCTCCCAAATAGCTGGGATTACAGGTGCCTGCCACCATGCTTGGCTAATTATTAAATTTTTAGTAGAGACGGGGTTTTACCATGTTTGCCAGGCAGGTCTTGAACTCCTGACCTCAGGTGATCCTCCCACCCTGGCCTCCCAAAGTGTTGGAATTACAGGCGTTGAACCACTGCGCCTGGCGTGAGCATTATTTACTACAGAACTTTTTGCTCGAAGAGCGTTAAAGTAGATAGGACTTGGATTTTATGATGCATTAATAAAATCTGAAACTTCTTTCAAGATTCAGAATGAAAAATGGCTTTTACTCAGTGAGGAAAGTTAACGAGATATTTACGACACCTCCTAATTTTTTAAGAGATGCTTTTCAATTTAGTGTTAGACCAACTCCAGATATATTATAAAAGCATAATGTTGGCCAGGCGTGGTGGCTCACGCCTGTAATCCCAGCACTTTGGGAGGCCAAGGCAGGTGAATCACCTGAGTCAGGAGTTCAAGACCAGCTTGGCCAACATGGGGAAACCCCGTCTCTACAAAAATACAAAAATTAGCCATGCATGATGGTGGGTGCCTGTAATCCCAGCTACTCGGGAGGCTGAGGCAGAAGAATCACTTGAAACCAGGAGGTGGAGGTTGCAGTGAGCCGAGATCATGCCATTGCAATCCAGCCTGGGCGACAGGGTGACTCCATCTCAAAAAAAAAAAAAACAAAACAAAAAACCATAATGTTAGGAGTCAAACTTACTAGATAAGTCTAAGGTTGACGTCTTTTATATTTTCTAATTTTTCTAAATTAATATGAACATATTTTTAGTAATTTAAAAAATATTTTTATTTATAGTCTATTCTATCATGGTTGTAATTCATCTCCTAAGACCATAATATAGCGATATTTTTAATTTTAAAAATATAATTTTCTTTCCCTAGAAGAACAAAAAAATTATGTTTTATTTTTCTTCATTTAAATTTCTTAGGGTCACAAGCCAATTCTATTGAGAACTCAATACCGTTGTCATCCTGCAATCAGTGCTATTGCTAATGATCTGTTTTACAAAGGAGCCCTCATGAATGGTGTAACAGAAATAGAGCGGAGCCCTTTATTGGAATGGCTACCAACCCTGTGTTTTTATAATGTTAAAGGACTAGAACAGGTAAATGACATTAATGTTGATGAGAGTCAACATGGTTTAGGTTCCTGGTTTAATTTTGTTGTTGTTTGTATGATTTTACTTGGTTTTTCCATAGCCTTTCTGGGAAATATAATTTAGGATCTATTTCTTACTCCAGATAGAAAGAGATAACAGCTTTCATAATGTGGCAGAAGCTACGTTTACACTCAAGCTGATTCAATCACTGATTGCAAGTGGAATAGCAGGCTCTATGATTGGTGTGATAACATTATACAAATCCCAGATGTACAAGGTTGGTATTATGTATTACAGTATTTGCCATATATTAAATATTACAATTACATATTACCATATTTGATATTACATTTATAGTAGTTGGTTTGGTGCCTGAAAAACTTTTGGTACTGTAATTAATATATTAAAAAAGAAACATTCTGATTTTTTTCTGGTCTGGCTTTTTTTCTGTATAATTAAATGTAAACCTAACAAGGTTTAATTAAATTTAGTTTACAGCTGTTGCGGCAAAAATGCAAAAAGCAAATTAGAGGGAAGAAAATATGGTGTATGCTTTGTAGACAGATGGGACTGAATCTCTGTTATCCAAAATGTTCTTTTATTATTGGTACATTTTATCAGTAAATCAAGGATAGATACCAAATATTAATGTACACATGAGCCAATTACTTCTAACTAGATTTTTCTCTTAGTATTTTTTATCTGTTTCATTATTAGTTTATCAGCTCCAAATTAGCATATCCAAATGAGTTACCCAGCAATAGATAAATTGCTTTTGATTTTGTGTCATAATTAATATTTTTATCTAGTCATTTATCTATCATTTTAGAAACTAGCCAAGTCTATGTGAGTCATAAAAGAAAAATGAAAATTATTTACTATTAGTTAAATTACAGTGGTTGCTTTGAGCAGGTTCAGAGGCTTAAGTTCTTCACAATCTCTTACTACATGATTGCTGTTTTTTCTTCCACAGCTTTGTCATTTACTCAGTGCTGTGGACTTTCACCATCCTGATATTAAAACTGTGCAGGTGTCCACAGTAGATGCTTTTCAGGGAGCTGAAAAGGAGATCATTATTCTGTCCTGTGTAAGGACAAGACAAGTAGGATTCATTGATTCAGAAAAAAGAATGAATGTTGCATTGACTAGAGGAAAGAGGCATTTGTTGATTGTGGGAAATTTAGCCTGTTTGAGGAAAAATCAACTTTGGGGACGAGTGATCCAACACTGCGAAGGTAAAATAAAAATGGGTTTAATTCATGCATTTCAAGTTCAAACTGACTTTTATGGGTTAATGCTTGGGGTGCTTCAAGCAGGAACAGCTCTGCTGGGGGAAGTAACTGACATGATAATATTGGGACCTCTGTAAAATAAAGAATAGTTGTCTCATGTCGTATGTTTTTTTAAGGAAGGGAAGATGGATTGCAACATGCAAACCAGTATGAACCACAGCTGAACCATCTCCTTAAAGATTATTTTGAAAAACAAGTGGAAGAAAAACAGAAGAAAAAGAGTGAAAAAGAGAAATCTAAAGATAAATCTCATTCATAAAAAGACATGGTGTAAATATTTTGTATTTATGTAAATTCAGACTCATTTTACATGATATATTTTTTATATTTTTATTACTCTAAACCCTCTTATTAAAAATATGATATTTAAATAACATAGTAAACACATGTAAAAATTTTGTTCTTCAAAAAAGTGTACAAAAGGTAGTATAAAATCCTACTAATAAAAATAAGCTTTTTTCTAAGAAGAATGATTTCTGTTTGCCAAAGAAATGAATTTTACAAGGGGCAGGTTATAGAGAATACCTGTATACTTCAATAACAAGTGAATGTCTCCAGAACTCATCTGTTGGAACATATGTACAGAATAAGATATACCAACACCTTTCTAAAGTTTATCAGAATATTTTTTAAATGATTATAAGGCCTCCCTATTTTATAAATGAAAACATATTCACAAATATGTTTTTATGTTTAAAACTTTTGAAAAGTACGCAAAAGAAGAAAGAAAAACACCAAAAGTTTACACCTGGAGATAGCAGTGTTCAACATCTGACCATGGCTAGTGCCTTGCACCCATACCTGATATAGTAGGTGCTTAATAAGTATCCATTGGAAGAATGAACAGATGAATGAAAGATTACCTTTGGTTCATTTTCTTCTAGTTTTTTTCCTCTGCATTTGTTTGCATAGTAGGTATTGATATATATATATATGGATTACAACTTTTTATTATAAAAATAATACATTCTTCATGTAGAAAATTTGCAAAATACAAGGAAGTATACAACAGAAAACAAAAATCACCTAGAAATACAATACCTGGAGATAATCACTAACATATTCCTTTAGTCTTTTTTCTATGTTTATATTCTATGTGTATATATGTAGTTAAGTTTTAAGCCATTTGTGTCCACACTGATTCTTAGACATTATTAACAAAAGAGCGTTTATACATCCTGGATGGAAAAATGACAAGTGCTTGATTATAATTAATATCAATGCAATATTTTTACCAATTAAAAACAAATCTTAGTGACCCAAGTCACTCAATATTCATTTCAAAGATGCAGGAAAATTCTTACTTGAATTATTTCACAATAAAAAGAATATGACTAGTCAGTCTCTATGGAACTCTTAGGGAAAAAAATAAATTCAACAACAAAACTTGTGGTTTAGTAATTCTCCAAGCCTTTTCCCAAATGTGTTACTGCGTGCAACAACAGTTGCTTTTTTAAGTGTTCATCCAAACTGTGAAGTGAAAGATGTGACTTCCAACAGATCCTTACAAAGCAGAGGAATAGTTGAAGGAAGTATTACAGAACCGCGCCTTACCCATGAACTGTACAATCTAACTGACAACATACATTTAAACTGGATTCCTGAGTTTTGCTGCCCAGACCTCCCTATTTTTTATTTCTTAATTTTGGTCTGTTGGCCAGCTGGAGCTAGGTCTCAAGTAATTTATTTTCCCCAGAAAGAGTATATAGATTATATATCTTTTGAGGTTTTGTATATCTGAGGATATATTTCTGTTACATACACTTATGAGAGCTACGTAAACACGATGTAAATTGCCCTTGGCTTCACTTACTGTTCATTTGGATGATAGTTGAACTTCTGTCTCAGATCTACAGCGGGATGGCTGACTGATTTTGCACAATTCCTAGTCTAAATCCTACTAGCTTTTATCTAGAACTGCTCAATCTTCTGCACTTGTGCCTGTGCTGTCATTAATTGCTCCCTTCCCTTCATCTCTCATTTTGTCAGTTTTCCAGAAATTTCCATTTCTACTATGATAATAGGGAGAGGTCTTGATGGTATAGAGTAAGATTTCTCAACTTCGGCATTTTTAACGTTTTTAGACCAGGCAATTCTTTCTTATGGGGGCGCTGTCCTGTGCCCTTTAGCAGCATCACTGGCTTCTGCCCATGAGATGCCAGTGGCACCTTACCCCAAAGTTGTGACAATTAAAAATGGCTCCAGACATTGCCAAATATTCTGATGTAGAGGGTGGGTTCAGCATTCCAGCAATCTCAGAAAGCAGTAACTGCACTTAAAAGTATAGCTGCCTTATTTTTTGGTAGTTATAAATCTTGTATGTTTGATATTTAATAAAGGAGAGAAGGGTCTTTTTTATTTTTAAGCGAGCATGCCTACTCTGTTTCTAATGCCATTATACATGTAGTGTATCAATTTTATATTTTCAATCCAGTTATATCATTGTAGCAGTTCATTACTATTCCTCCCAACTTGTGACAATAGGTCAGCTAGGAGTGTCAAATATTTATCTTATGTGTTTTCGTAGTTATTTTAATGTGACAGAGCCCATTGGAGCCTTTTTATTATTATTATTTATTATTATTATTATTTATTTATTTATTTTTTTGAGACAGAGTCTTGCTCTGTTGCCTGGGCTGGAATGCAGTGGCACGATCTCGGCTTACTGCAACCTCTGCCTCTCAAGTTCAAGTGATTCTTCTGCCTCGGCCTCCCGAGTAGCTGGGATTACAGGTGCCCACCACCATGCCCAACTAATTTTGTACTTTTAGTAGAGACGGGGGGGTTTCACCATGTTGGTCAGGCTGGTCTCGAACTCCTGACGTCAGGTGATCTGCCCACCTCAGCCTCCCAAAGTGCTGGGATTACAGGCATGAGCCACCACGCCTGGGTCCTTTTTAAACAGGAACACATTGAAATCTTTAAAAGAACTTCCCATTCAACAATATTCCTCTTGTTTAGAACATAAGAAGTTAGTATAAATGTTATGGTGTAGAAAGTGGCAAAGAGATTGATAATATACTATTGATAATATACGATGCTACTATTTTTTGCTAAGGGATTAGCTCTATCTTATACATAGCTATTATTTCCCTTTTTCTAATTTATAGCATATTGTAACAGAAAACTAAAACTCAATTAATAGAAAATGTTGATTTTTGCAGAACCATTCTTTCCATTCTTTCTAGCCCACCTGCATAGCTGACTAGATTAAACACTCTTTTACACCAGGCACTTTAGAAAATAAAAAGTAATGGTGGTGCAGGGGAAGAAATGGAAATGGTTTAGTCTCTGTTTCCATGCTGCCCCCATTCTCTTGGTTTAGGACGGAGATTCCCACCTGGGCAAGAAGATGGAGAGGCTTTCTTTCACTCTGGGTGGACCTTACTCCACAGTGGATATGGTATTAATAGTTTTGTCTCTGGTTTTAATCTTTACCATCCTGGATTGGGTCACAGAATGTCATCCCAAAGAGTAATGTCAGCTGCAGCAGGCCTGGTTTATATCTAGGAGTCAGATTTTAGTGCTCTTGCCCCAGCCCCTGTCCATTAGAGCACAGTCTTCACTCTTTCCTTTTTCCCAAGACTTTTACAACAGAAATGGGGTGAGAAGCAGCTCTCACTTTTTTATTTCCTTCAAACACCCAGTAAGGGAGTGGGAGATCGATGAGCTCATCTACTTTATCTTTCTTAAAGAGAATAATAAAACATTCTTCTGATTGGGTGGTGTTGACCATTGAGGAGTTGTCTTTGGCTCCATCATATATTTTGAGTGAAAACATACTATCTGAACCCTGAATATTAATATGGTCTTTATATTTATTTTCAGTAAGAAAAAGATAACAATATTTGACATTAAAAAAAAAAATCCCCAAAGCCCAGGCTAACACATTCTTTATCTTTGTCATCTCAAATTCCAAGGTTGGATAGACATGAATTGAACTTTAAGAAGTATCCTGTTCAATAACAATCAAAATATTAAAATTTCTTAGGATTTTACAATATACTCAATAAGCCAGTTTTACAATTATAGCCATCAAACATCTATACATAACAATAATCTTAAAACAATGTCTCCCAACTCATGTTCAGTAAATGATAGGATTATATAAAAATGTCAAGATTTTAATTTATAGAATAAGTCTATTAGTTTATGTATCACAAATTGAAATAGAATGAAATTTCTAAGCTTTAATCTACTCATCATTAATTGCTTACTTTATATAGTATGTGTGTTGGATTTTTTTATTTTTGAAGATTTTTTCACAAACATCTCATTTACCCCAGTGGGGGGGATAGGTATTTTCCCCATTCTGTACATGATTAAGCCAAGGATCAGAAAAATTGAAGTGATCCACCTAATCTACCATGAGTAGTACCAGGCAGGGCTGGAACCCAAGCTAACCCAACTCTCAGGCTAGGCTATATTGCACCACCTGCATTGTAAGTCACTTTATCAAAGGGTAAAAGACACCGAAACCAAAAATTTTACAGTCCTCTTTGACCCAACTAGACTAATGTCCTGATCATTTACCTTAGTTAATTTAGTATGCAACCATTTATTAACAATTTTTTTTTTTTTTTTTTTTTTTTTTTGAGACAGACGGGGTTTCACCATGTTGGCCAGGCTAGTCTCGAACTCCTGACCTCAGGTGATCCGCCCGCCTTGGCCTCTCAAAGTGCTGGGATTACAGGCATGAGCCACTGTGCCTGGCCTATTTGTTGAACAGTCTATACCTTCCTGGTAAATATAATTTTTACTAGAGAAATGGGTTTGTTGATTTCTCCTTGAATGTCTACATTTGCTACTATAAGATGTAGTTTGCTACTTAATGCAAGAGAAATATTATTAACAAAAATGTATAGCTGAACTGGTGATTCTTAAAATTCTCAAAAGTAGGTGAAAAAATAATATACTTTGCTTTCCTCTGTAGCCAGCTCCTGTCCTTATTCAAAATTTGAATTGTGAAAAATTATAGGTTACTTGAATTTATGAAGCTTAGCTTAAAACTTCAAAATAAAACATAACTTTTGGTATTGCTCTTTCATATTTGAACAAAAAACATTTGATTTGGGATGCCAAAGCAAACCCAAAATGCTGCTTGTTCTTGACTATGGTTTAATTTAAAGACAGCTGTGAAATATCTTTATACTAATTAGATTTGTTTATATTAAATAAGAATGAACTGGAAATTGGTGATTTACTCGACAGATATTGGACCTTGAAAATTAAATAATTGTTCTAAAAACATTAGATCAACACTGATTTGAAATCCCTGGTTTGTAATTAGCCATGAGTGAAATGTGTGTTTAGTTCAAGTTGTGTGTTTGGTTTACATTAGCATGACTTGATTATAAAATAAAGGAAAAATACTATCCAAATATCTCTGCAGTCCTCTAAGTTTCTCTCATTCTGAAACACTAGTTAGGTTGATTTTTAAAAAATTCTCTGTGAGTGTCTGAATTATTGCAAATCTGGTCCTGATAATAAATGGAGATGTATGTGTGCATGCTTGCACGTGTGAAAAATCAGGAAGCAGTCACCTTGCAGGCTAAAGAACTGGTAGAGAAAATTTCCTAAGTGAAAGTTTTAGGGTACCTATGGTAGCCAGCCTCTTTAAAGACAGATATAGTTCATTTCATTGGACAAATTATGATGGATTTGTGGCTTCTTGAAATAGAACTAATTATTTCTGTGGTGCCATTAAAGTCAGTGCATCCATTGAGCATCTGCTCTGTGGCTGGCCCTTTGTGCACAACAGGCATATGCAGCTTGTTTTATGTGTTAGGCCAGGCATGGAGTGCAGAGCTAGTTATGTACCACTCCACCCCGACATGGGGCAAAGTAGAGCTCTCCCTGATGGAAAAACTTAGGGGCATACTCGAAGCAAGAAAATCAGCCTCCTTTGCCCATTCTTTTGGAATATATATTTCTAAATAAGAGCTAACATGACCATGATGCCATCAGGAGCTCGATACTTTGTCTCCTATGTCCTTAGGTTCCTTATATCTAGAGTCAGTGTCAGGCTATGGGGTATGAAGTAGAAGCTAGACCTTTGAAGACTAGGTAGGTCAGAGAGGTAGAAGGATAGTTGTGAATGGAAGGGAGTAACTGGTGGGGAAGACAATATGGTTAACAAATTCTGAGGTGTAAAAAGATCCCACGTCTTTCAGCACAGCTGTGGATGTATGTGTAACCAGCTGACATCTCCCACAGGTTTGTGACTCCTTTTAGGTATTATGAGCCCTATCCAGTGTTGTGAATGGATGATGATGACCTTCCTGAGCAACATGGTAACATCACATAAGAACAAAATTAGAGCATAAGGTAAAGTGTAATGAACAGCAAGCAGTCCAGTGTAATTTGATGAGTCTAGACATTGTTGTATGAGACCAGACGTATGCACTATGTATGTTGCCTAGGCAAGCTGACTGAATATAAGGGACCAAGGACAAAATAGTCAACATATTGGTAAAGGAACCACATACATAACTTTAGCGACAATGGCTCTTCAGAATCATGTTTTGCATTTATAATTTGGGATCAGCACCAGTACAGTAGGTGCTCAGTAAGTGCTTAACTATTGAATGTTATAAAAATCTAGAATGGGCAGGGCATGGTGGCTCATGTGTGTAATCCCAGCACTTTGGGAGGCCAAGGTGGGCAGATCACTTGAGCTCAGGAGTTCAAGACCAGCCTGGCCAACATGGTGAAACCCTGTCTCTACTAAAAATACAAAAATTAGCTGGCTGTGGTGGTGTGTGCTTGTAGTTCTAGCTACTCAGGAGGCTGAGGCAGGAGAATCACTTGAACTCAGGAGGTGAAGGTTGCAGTGAGCCAAGACTGCACCACTGCACTCCAGCCTAGGTGGACAGAGTGAGACTCCATCTTAAAAAAAAAAAAAAAAAAAAAAATTAGCCAGGCGTGGTGGCGTGCACCTGTAGTCCCAGCTATTCAGGAGGCTGAGGTGGGAGGATCACTTGAGCTCAGGAAGTGGAGGCTTTTGGGAGCTGAGATTGCGCCACTGCACTCCAGCCTGGGCACCAGCCAGAGTGAGACTCTGTTTAAAAAAAACAAAAAAACAAAAAAAACCTATTGTGTCCAGATGATCTGTTTTCTTTTGTGTTTTGCATACTTTTAAATATTTTAAAACAAATCAAACTGGGTTTATTTCTTACCTTCTAGTATGTGCTCACATGTATGCCTTATTTTTTCTTTGAGACAGTGTCTCTGTCACCCTGGTTGGAGTGCAGTGGTGCAATCAAACTCCTGGGCTCAAGTGATCTGCCCACGTTGGCCTCCCAAAGTGCTGGGATTAAGGCGTGAGTCACCATGCCTGGTCAGTGCCTAATTTATATGCTTGAAGCATGAATACCTCATTCTGTTTTCCGTTTTTATTCATTATGGCACATCTATTCTCTTTCCCCTTATTTTTGTTTAATTCTACTTATATACTTTTGAATAGATGATAACATTCCCATGGTTTGATATTCAAGAGGAACAAAAGGGAATACAGCAAAAAGTCTCCCCTGCTCTGTGTCCTCCAGCCTCCCAGGTTTCCTCCTCAGAAGCAACCAATGTTATAAGATCCCTGTATTTCCTTGCAGAAATATCTTACTATCATATAGGTAAATGCATATAAATATCTCCCCAGCCACCAGCTTTTATTTTTTTAATTTATTTTGTTTTTTATTTTTTAGATACAGGGTCTTGCTCTGTCCCTCAGGCTGGAGTGCAGTGGCATGATCTTAGCTCACTACAGCCTCAACCTCCTAGCCTCAAGTGATCCTCCCAACTTAGCCTTCCCAGTAGCTAGGATGACAAGTGCATGCCAGGCTAATTTTGTGTGTTTTTTTTTTTTTTTTTTGTATTTTTTTGTTAAGACGGGGTATCACTGTGTTGCCCTTGCTGGGGCTCAAGAGATTCTCTTGCCTCAGCATCATAAATGCTGGGATTATAGGTGTGAGTATGCTAGGTCTCACTTTTTTTTTTAAAGATGGGGCTTCATTTTGTCATCCAGGATGCAGTGCAGTGGCACAAACATAGCTCACTGTAGGCTTTTTGTAGAGAAGAGACCTCACTATGTTGCCCAGGCTAGGCCTGAACTTGTGGCCTTAAGCAAGCCTCCTGCCTTGGTGTCCCAAAGTGCTGGGATTACAGGCATGAGCCACTGTACCCAGCCTGGTCTCCCCCTTTTACATGGTAGACTACTATATAAAAAGTGTTGTATACCTTGCTTTTTTCACTGAACAATATCTATCTTAGAGCTCATTCCATGTTGTCTATACTTAAAAAAAAAAGTCATCTGAGATTTATCATCACCCTAAATTACTCCAACATGCTGCTGACCACGACCTCTCCCTCACTTCTACACACACTTTCTGGCTTCATGAGCTCTCATTTCCTGACTCATTGCTATTCTGACATTCTATCAGTTCCCTTATCTTTTCCTTTCTGTCCAGACATCATCCTGCTTAAGCACTCTCAACTGCCTTGGCAAATTAGTGGCTTGCTGCAGTTTTTTTTCCAGCTAATAAAACTCTGGATTTATTCAAACATCCTTTTCCATTTTCTTACACCTGGGTTTCTGGGTGTTCTAGAGGAAATTATTCTAATGTGCAGATGGGTGCCACAACACATTTATGATAACTGATCTCACATGTCCCATATGCCCAGAAGTTATATGTCCCTAAGCTCTTCAACTCATTGTCTTCAGTCACTCTTCCCACCAGAATGATTTTTCTAACATTGCAAATATGATCACATTAGAATTTTTTTATTGCAGCTCATCACCTCTAATATTGTTTCTCAATATGTGATCATTGGTCTACCTGTGTCAGAACCACTGACTTCAAGGCCATTTATCCTAAGAAATATGTTTTTGTTTTTTAAAAACTACTTGTATTGAAGTACATAAAATATGCGTAATTTAAGTGTACATCTTGATGAATTTTGACAAATGTATGTACACCTTTGTAACCACCATCACAATCGAGAACATTTCCATTACCCGCAAAGTTCCCTTGGGCCCCTTTGGGGTGACTCAGTCTCTCCTCCCCAAGGTAACCATTAATCCACTCTCTCCAGAGACTACTTTTACCTGTGTTAAAACTTCGTATACGTTTTTCACAAGATGGTACCGAATGCGAAGAAGGAAGCTCCTGCCCCACCTAAAGCCGAAGGAAGCTCCCGCCCCTCCTTTTGGCGAAGTCTTTGAAGGCCAAAAGACAGGGCTGAAGGGTGTCCACGGCCACAAAAAAAACACACACAAAAAACAAAAAACAGAAGATCCGTACGTCACCCACCTTGCGGCGGCCCAAGACACTGCGATTCTGGAGGCAGCCCAAATATCCTCGGAAGAACGCCCCCAGGAGAAACAAGCTGGACCACTCTGCTGTCATCAGGTTTCTGCTGACCACTGAGTCTGCCATGAAGACCACATAAGATGTTCACTAGTTTACTTTCTTCTATTACCAAGATTGCCACCTGTGACTATCTAGGAATCAAGGTAATGTTAAGAGAGAGACCAAAAGGAGTTCCTTCTCTCTGTTATTTTTCTTTCTTTTTTTTTTTTTTTCTTTTGAGACGGAGTCTTGCTCTGTCGCCCAGGCTGGAGTGCAGTGGCACGATCTCGGCTCACTGCAAGCTCCACCTCCCAGGTTCACTCCATTCTCCTGCCTCAGCCTCCCGATTAGCTGGGACTACAGGCGCCCGCCAGCACGCCTGGCTAATTTTTTGTATTTTTTTTTAGTAGAGAAGGGGTTCCACTGTGTTAGCCAGGATGGTCTCGATCTCCTGACCTCGTGATCAGGAAGACCTTCGGCCTTCCAAAGCGCTGGGATTACAGGCGTGAGCCCCGCGGCCGGCCCTCTCTGTTATTTTTCATTCGTTTGGGAGTTTGGAGCTTGTTAGATTGAGTTGTGAATGATAGAAAACTCAAAATAACAATGGCCTCAACAAGTAGAAGTTTATTTCTCCCATGCAAATAAGTTGGGAAGTAAACAATGTAGAACTGATATGGTGTCGCTGCTGCACCGTCTCCAGGCTGTCCCCCTCTTCTCACGACCCAAGATGGAGACCCATATATCATATCCATATTCTCAGCAGCAGGGTAAAGGAAAAGCAAGGGAGGAGGGCATGCCCCTACCCTTAAGGACATGAAATTGCATGTGCCACTTCTGTTTGCATCTCATTGGCTAAAATTGGTTGCACTGACCTCTCCTAGCTGCAAGGAAAGTGAGAAATGTAGTCTTTATCTTAGGCAGCCACATGCCCAGCTAAAAATGGGGATCTAACTACCATAAAAAAAGGAGAAAATGGCTAGTTGAACACCACTGGCTGTCTTTTCTGTAGCAGTGTCACATTAAAGACATTCCCATTCAATCTTGTTGGGATATATCTACCTCATTGCATGTCTTGAAGATCTCAGGAGGTGGTGTTCCCATCGTCAGTTCATGGGGTAGGTCCCAACTCTGCTGTGGAGTTTATGAATCTAAGAACAGGCATCTATGGGGACATAGAGATTCTCTGTGCTCACTAATAATGTGAGATTTTAGTGCCCTGTTTACATTTATGTTTCTGATCATGTTGGCTCCGCGGAGTGCTTTAACAGCCAATAAGAAAAAAATGGCAACTTACAATGTACATTATTAGTCAACACTTAATGATAGCCAAATAACACTGTACAAAGATTTCTTGGTGTATCAAAAAAGGTGGATGGGGAGTGGTAGGCATATCACACAATATACCTGGTGCCATACTAAAGGCATCCAAACTTGAAACTTCACAGTGGCAGGTTATATGAAATTTGTGTTGTGTCTTCAGGTGATTTAAAAAAATATATGACATCGGGAAGCGGAGCTTGCAGTGAGCCGAGATTGCGCCACTGCAGTCCGCAGTCCAGCCTGGGCGACAGAGCGAGACTCCGTCTCAAAAAAAAAAAAAAAAAAAAAAAAAAAAAAAAAAATATATATATATATATATATATATATATATGACATCTATCCTGTCAAGTTGATGTTAATTTGGATAGAATTGGCTTTATAGTTGTACTTATATTTATAAATTTTGTGGTTGTCATGGTTATATAAGAGATAAAAACAAGGAGTTTATAGTAAGATTTATATTTGTCCATCTTTAGATAACCTTATAATAACAATAGCACTGTCTGCACTGATGAGGCCACAGGGAATCTTTTCCCTTTCAGAAGGGTCAACACATTCCTCAAGGAAAGGGCACAAGCCTGAAATTGTCAAGTCTGGGTATACAGTGTGACAGGCCTAGACTGCAGTTGTGATCTGGGTGATCTTAGACAAGTTTCCTCATTTGTGAAAATGGTAATGACAATAATGTCCTCATTGGGATTTGTGTGAAAACAAAATTAAATAATATATTCAAGGTTGGCAGGTGGTACAGTGGCTGGCTCATTGTAGGTTTGCTTCCCCTCTTCAAGAAGCAGTCCCTATATCCTCCAAATTTTCAAAAGGTATAAGCTGCAAATAAACATCTAAAAAAGTGCTCCAGAAAAACACTGAATCCTTTGGTCACCCAATGCAACCTAAAAATATGGAGAAAGACTAAGTAGAGAAAAAACTGCAAAAGAAATCATTCCTTTAGAGGATAACTTTGTCAAGAACACTCTTGTCAAGAGCACTGACACAGCCTTGCCATAGCCATAGACTATACACTGTCCAATAAGGAGGAGGAGGAAAAAGTGATGGTCTTCATCTCTATGAATGCTATCTTGACCTAACTTTTAACTTGGTTCTCCACACTGATTAAATTACCTGGGCGAGTAAAGAAAAATCACTTTGTGTTCTGCAGATACGTATCTTCTTAAATATCAAATTAAAGAGAAATTCCAATGCCAGCAAGTTGTGACTGAAATAACTATCTAGATATTCTTTCTTGGCCAAATACTTGGAACCAAGAGATTACTACTGAATTCTTAGGAGGCTGTATCCATATGTTTCTTATTATTACTTTAAAAATTCTATGTGGTTTATTTCACCTCTATTTTATTAGGGAGAAAAAAGCACTTTGAATTTTTGGGATGAGAGGGAAGGAAAAGGCTTTTAATTTATTTTTGAGATGGAGTCTCACTCTGCCACCCAGCTGGAGTGCAGTGGCATGATCTTGGCTCACTGCAACCTGGCCACCTTCCAGGTTCAAGAGATCCTCCTGCCTCAGCCCCCCGAGTAGCTGGGATTACAGGCAAGAGCCACTACGTCCAGCTAATTTTTGTATTTTCAGTAGAGATGGGGTTTCACCATGTTGGCCAGGCAGGTCTCAAACTCCTGACCTCAAGTGATCCACCTGCCTCAGCCTCCCAAAGTGCTGGGATTACAGGTGTGAGCCACTGCACCCGGCCGGAAAAGGCTTTTATTTCAATGAGGCACTACTCCTTTTTCAGAAACAGTCCCTCTGTGTTGCTCAGGCCATAGTGCAGTTGCACCATCTGGTTCAGTGCATCCAGGAACTCTTGGATTCAATTAATCTTCCTGCTTCTGCCTCCCAAAGTGCTAAGATTGTAGGCATGAGCCACTATGCCCAGCTGGAAACACAACATTCTTGATGCCAATTTTATAAGACACTGAGAGCCAAAGGAAGACTCAGAGAAGAAATCAAAATACCATGTGACTTTTTGGGTGGCCAGAAATTTATCTTAAGAAACAACACGCTGAAACCTAATACAATTTCCTTAAACCTCTGATCATTTGTTTTCTGAGAATATTGTTGGTCTCAAATCCAATGTAACTCAAATTATTTGAAGTATAAGAATAAGACTAGGCCGGGTGTGATGGCTCATGCCTGTAATCCCAACACTTTGGGAGGCTGAGGTGGACAGATCTCTTGAGCTCACGAGTTTGAGACCAGCTTGGACAGCATGGCAAGACCCCGTCTCTGCAAAAAATACAAAAATTAGCTGGGCATGGTGGCACACTCCTGTAGTCCCAGCTACTCAAGAGGCTAAGGTGAGAGGATCACCTGAGCCAGGGAAGTCGAGGCTGCAGTGAGTGAGCCGTGATCATGCCATTGCACTCCAGCCTGTATGACAGAAGCGAGACCCTGTCTCAAATAAAGAAAGAAAGAACTCACCAAATTCATGCAGATAATAAAATTATAATTTTCTCCACCTTTTAGTGGCATATTAGAATCTCCCCAGCTGGGAAATTTGAAAAAGAAACAAAACAAGGTGAAAGCTGTCTTCTACTTAGGATATTAATAGGGTTTGGGTTTCGGTTAATATTGACATAGAGTTTTATTTTTTATTTCTAGTCTATTTTGTTTTTACAAAATTTCTTAGTAGACTTTTACCATATAGCCTTAGAAAGGTATCTTGATTTTTCTGTACATTATTGTATTGTGAGATTAATCTTTTTCTTCCTTCAAGAGAAAATGAAGCCTCAAATCCTCAAAAATAAAAACCCTGGAGAAAAAGAGAATTTGCTGAGAAGAATGCCATTATCCTCTTGCAAATCCTTTCCTTTCTCTTATTCTCAGTCCTGCTGTCTCATGCACCCAACAATAATACAACATAGTTTCAGCGTGGTGACTGGTGCTATAAAAATGCAGTTAAATAGAAACCCACAGTTGTGTCCTTCAGGATAAAGATGGCTTCTGTCACAGAGAAAGCCAAAAGCCTAACAACATAGGAAAGCAAAACTCAGAATCAAGTATTTTCTGAATCCTGATTATTTTTAAAACAGTAGCCATAGATGCTATATTTCCAAGCACAAAATGAAAAAGGAAAGTTTTTAATTATGGCTGAGGGCAGGTCAAGAAGAAACACATTTAAGAAAGATTAGACACAAAGAATTTCCCGCTGGCAAGTGTTATTAAATAAAGGAATGTATTACTTTGAGACTTTTTTTTTTTTTTTTTAATCTGGCTGGGCACAGAGGATCATGCCTGTAATCCCAGCACTTTGGGAAGCTGAAGCAGACAGATCACTTGAGCCCAAGAGTTCGAGTCCAGCCTGGACAACATGGTGAAACCCCGTCTCTACTAAAAATACAAAAATTAGCAGGGTGTGGTGGTGCTGTCTGTAGTTACAGCTACTCTGGAGGCTGAGGTGGGAGAATCGCTTGAACCTGGAAGGAGGAAGTTGCATTGAGTGGGATGATGCCACTGCACTCCAGCCTGGGTGACAGAGCAAGACCCTGTCTCAAAAAACAAAAACAAACAAACAAAAAAAATCAAGTATTTCTTTAGAAATCCACCAGAACCCTATGATGAGGTCTCATCTCTCTGAAAAGTTATGTGATCCAGCATTGAGGAGCTTTCCTTTCTCTGTCCAGCCCCAGGAATTTTGATTTAACAAGAATACTGAAATTGCAATGTATGTTCCTCTTCTCTACAACAGTGTTTCCATTGATAGTTCAAGAATGAGTTTTAAACGTTTGTCTTAAAATTACAGTATCCCATGTCAGTGCAAATGGCTCAACTCCTGGGGCCTTAATTTTAACTGTGGATGAGTTCTACGATATAACTTACCCCACTTCAGACATCTCTGAACTGAAATTTCCTTCCAATGTTTGACAGAGACTACAAAAGAAAAGGCATTCTCCAGAAGGCTGGCATTTTAAAAAATAACAACTTCTGATTATGAATGTTCCAGTATTTACCTAGAAAACACAGAGATAAAAACTTAACTTACCACTACTCAATGGAAAAAAAACCACTATGAATATATTTTTCACTCTAGGATGTATGAGCTTATATGTCTGTCCAATCATTTAGATACAAATATCTATAAACTGGGGTCATACTAAACATTATGAGATTAAAAAATTAAATATCCATCAGAAATATAATTTTAATGTCTGCATGACATTTTGTTATTGTAGCAATTATATGTAAATACATTTACTACCAAAATTTTGTAGTAAACTATTGTATAATGTATTATTAGTCTCTACTGTTGATAAATGTGGGCAACTTAAATTCGTTCCAATTAACAGGTAAAGTGGTAAAATGGTAAGTCCTTAAGTTACCTTAGATCCTTGGGAAAGCACAGTAATTTGTTGACGAAGTTAAGGACAAGTAAAGTCAAGTGGGAAACAGATGAAAATGGCGAGCGGAAATAGAAGTTTGGGTGTCTGGACCCATGAACTAAGGCCTAAGGCAAATGATGCTGAACGCCTCTCTGTCCCCGCCCAACGTTTTACACTCGGGACATCTAGCTAAAAATGAACATCAAATACCAATTCGGATGATAATTAAAATGTACTGGGGGAACGACAAGCAGTCTGGAGAATGAATCTGAACGTGGCTCTGGGTGCGTAAAGAAAACATCTGTACAGACATGATATAATACACAAAGTCTGTACCCACTCAGTGCATCTGAGTCCTTTTGAGCCTGGAGACCAAGTCCTTTTCCCCAGCCTATTGGGTCTTGGCGTCACTTCTAGCTGATTTGCTAAATCCTCAAAACAAAAGAAAACGAAACCCGTGGGGCTTAAATCCGGTTGTTCTTAAACTTGGCAACTATCAGAACCCTAGGGGAGGTGTTTTGTGTTTGTTTCTTTCGGCTTTTGAAACTGCAGGTGAGGACGTGGCTGGGCACTGTGCGTTTGTAACCTGAGCCGCAGGTGAAGCTTCCCAGAGGGCGTCCCCGGACCGACCTCGAGGAGACCCCAAATCCACTGTCCCCCGGTGGCCGGCTGTCTTGGGAGCTCCCCCGCGGCCCCGAAGCCCCGCGGTGCTCTCAGGATACCCCCTCGACCTCCGTGCCCCACCAGGGGGCGCCCCGACTTCGCAGCGCGCCCGCCGTGAATCGGCTGCCCTCGGGCGGGCCCGGCCCTCCAGGACCAGAGCGCGTCCTGAAAACGCTCAGGTGCGGCAGGAAGGGAGTGTAACCCCGAGAGGGGCAGCAGGCTGTAGGGGGCGCCTCCTGCACACCTGTCAGCGCTCCGGCTCCCTCGGACACCGCTCTCGCAAAAGATCTTGTTTTGTGTTTTGTTTTAAAAGTCTTCTCCGCCCCCATACTGCTTGAAGGCGTAAATGAGGGAGGGGTGGGAGGGGTGGAAGGGGGAAACGGAGAAAAGAGACGCTGGCGGACTGAATACCTTCTTTAAATTACTGCTGACACCTCGGTTCCAGGCCCCTAAAATCTCAATCAACAATCTATTAGAACTCAACAGGAGTAAAACTAAATCCTCGTTTAAGTGTATTTATCCGATCTCCTTTCTCTCTTTCAAATGCTAAATCCATTTCAGCATATGCCCCCTTCTTTCTCTCGCCTTTCTCTCAAGATTGGCAGCCCATACCACTCTTGTAAATATGAAAGATGCTAATCATATGACATATCACGTCTCCGTCGGAGCCGGAATAAAGCCTTCAGATTTGGGATCATTGCCTCCAGACAACAGCTTCATCAGCCGGAAAGTTGGTTTTTTTTCTCCTTTCCTTCAACCCTCAATCCCTTCTTTGTCTGGAGGAAAATGCAGCCGACTCGAGCCACCCAGGCCATATGGTTCACTCTGTATTTTCTTAGTTGAATTCTGAATTGTTTCTGTGACTTGCGAAGTTTTTTTGGAAGTGCGTGTAAAGACATAGAAGAACTACTTGCGCAGGGAGCGCTGCCCGGGCGCACCGCGGCCGCCCCCTCCCGGCCTGGAGACCCGGCCCTGGCTCCTCCGCCGAGAGCTGTACTAGCAACTGCGTTATCGCAGGGTCGTTTCTACCAGGCAGGCCACAGCTGTCTGGTTCGCGCCTGGTGCTAACGCTGCGCCTCGCTAGGCGCCTGGCACTCGGTAGGCGCTCGAGAAATACTTCGGGGGGAAAGAAAGAATGGATAAATCAGCAATAAGTGTCAACCCCCAATGTTTTAGATTCTAAAGTATATCTTTAGATCCCTGAAAATAAACCATACCCCCGTCTCCCAACACTATTGCATTACACAGTTTTATTGTTACATACACGTATCCTTTTCTGATATATAAAACAATTTTTTTCTGTAGACACGGTCTCACTCTATTGCCCAGGCTGGAGTGCAGTGGTGCGATCTCGTCTCATTGCAACCTCCCGTTTCCGGGCTCAAGTGATTCTCCCACCTCAGCCTCCCGAGTAGCTGGGATTACAGGCACGTACCACCAAGCCTGGCTAATTTTTTTTTTTTTTTTTTTTTTTTGAGACACAGATTTGCCCTGTTGCCTAGGCTGGTCTCAAACTCCTGAGCTCAAGCGATCTCGGCCTCCCAACGCGCTGGGATTACAGGCATGAGCCACCGCGTGCCCGACCACTAAAACGATTTTTAATACCTTTTGAATGTAAGCTCTGTGGGGGTAGGAATGTGCGTCTTGTGCGTCGGTGTTTCCTGGGCCTAGTACAGTGTTTGACATACACTGGGTGTTCATTAAGTGTAGTTTGAATGTAGGAAGGAGAAATGATTCAATGAATCAATTAAAGTAATAAACTGATATCCTTTTCCCAAAAGGTACAGATTAAGGAAGAGTCTCTGCTAAAGATTCGAACTTATTTACCTCAACATCACCCTTTTAATTTGTATCAGCAACAATAAACGATACATTTATTTCCAGAAGAGAATTAAGTTTTGTTTTGTTTGTTTTGGGTATTTTTTTTTCCTTAGTGGGGAAAGGAGAGGGAAAATCAGCTTTCAAGATCTTTATCCATTTCTCAAAGTTCTGTGTTTTCCAGGTTAGGGACGGTCCCTGCGAGGGAGCAGGCTGCCAAATTTCCTTTCTCTCTGTCTAACTCCTTACACAAATCCCAAAGGGCCCTTTCACCAAATCATTAAATTCTACAGAGGTGGTCAAGCTCGCACTGCTTTTCATGAAACGCAGAAAGAAAAGGGTCCTTGAAGTTTAGAAGATGCCCAAGGAAAACTCCTTGAATGACATCAAAAGAATGAGTTTCCATAGCTGTTGAAGCACGAGGGCAGTGTATCCGCACAAAGGGGGATCGGGGCACTGGGACGGGCCCACCGCTCTGTCCCAGGACAATTGGGTCACTGAAATAGGGAATTAATTACCATTGGAGAGTGGGCAGCCCATTCACCACTGGCTGAGTTTTATTAAACGCCAATATAAATAACAAAACAACTCTTGTGGCTGCACTATTCCTACACGCCAAAGGAAGGATTATGCTGGGGATTAACATCTTAAAGTCTATGAGACTTTCTGACTCAAGGCTCGGAGCTGGTAATCGTGTTTGTCTCCTGGTTCAGCGATTAGTGCTCTCTTTCTTGCACTTTCCCCTGGATAGCCAATGTCCCTTTTTGCAGGCACCGAAGGGTGGGGAAGAGGTTCTCTCCCTAGTGGGCCCTCAGCTCTCCATTCACGCGCTGGCTGTTCTTTTCCCCTTACCTGAAGAAAACAATCAGAAAGCTGGCATGGATTGGCAAAATCTCCTACGGTAATTTCTTTCCTTCGTGGGAAAGAAGAGGGACATTTGGGTAGCGGGTTGCCTCAGGGATAAGAAGTCTGCGGAGCTTTGCCTTCCCCAGAGCAGGTGGGGATAGGGTATAGCGTCTGCGAAGAAGGAAGTGAGCCTCCTAGCACCTGCGGGGCCGATTCCGCGCTAGCAAGCTGACTGACCTTGTGTGTCAAGCCGAATCCCGGAATGTTTGGCTTGGAGGCACCAGAGCACGTCGTGCGGGCTTGGGGCCAGGGTCTCTAGAGTGGGGCTTGGGGCCTGGGGGATGATCTTCCCTGCCTTCTGTCTGCTGTGGTGGATGCCGATTCCTCGGACGCGATGAAAATACTGAAGGGGAGGGGCTGGCGCAGTGAAGCGCAGTTCAGTGACCTGGCCGGGACCTCTCCAGGGCTAGGTTCAAGCCGAATCCTCCCCGGACAGGATTCAAGGGGAAAACGTGGGGGAGACCGAGAATACCATGTGGGATGCAGTAACTGGGGATCGGGGCGAATTTACATTGTTTTCTCCTTGGCTTCCTTGGCTCCCGGATAGGGGACCGTCAGAAACTCCGAATTCACACTCATTCCCAGCGCTCACCACTATCAATAACGAATCCTAGCGTTGCAAGGGGTGCTCTGCGGAGAAAGCTAATTGTTTCCATACCAGGCTCTCCTGCTCTGGAAGCTGCGTTTCTAGCCTGCAGCGAAGAACTAGAGACCGTTGATGTAAAAGATGTTTAGGATTTACCAACTTTTTCCCGCCATCTTTCCATCTTTCTGAGAACTCACTCGGAGGATTAGGATTTGGGTTACAAAGCCCCCTTGTCAGGTACTTCATCTTGTTATTTTAGCAGAGAGTAGACACGCCATCTCCTTTGGCCGACGGTGGTTTACTGTGAATTGGGGGACAGGCTCGCTGGATAGCCAAACCTTGGCTTTTGTCCTCTCAGGGAAGGGCGCCCTCTTTCGCGCCCCCGACAGTCACCTGCAACAGCAAGGGACTAGCGCGGCGACCATTTGTCCTCTTTCGCAACTTGTGAGGTCGAAGTGTGGAGGGAATGTAGCCTATGGCTCCACAGCAACACCTACCCTAAACTTTAGGGCTTTTGGGTCGTCTCAAAGTTCAAGCTTCTTAGAAGCAACAAAGACTTTCTAAAGATCCCCACCCTCTCACCCCTCCCCTTACTCCACTTGTCTCTCACTACACGCACTCAGCTCCCTTTCTTTCTGAGGCTTGGGGATGAGTTTAAATCATTGTGCTCCCATTTCTTGAAAACTGTCTGCTTTGAGCTTTTGTTCTCTTAAAGTAGGATTCCGCACTGAAAGAAGGGCTGAAGATGAACAGTTTGACCCCTTAGGACAGTTCATGCAATGGACAGGAGCGGCCCTCGGTCACCATCCTGGCTGATGCTATTCACTCACTCCCCTCCCCCTTCACAGAACATTTCAGCCTCGTTTCATCTGGACAATCTTTTAGACCACACAAGTGCCTCTTGAATTTATTTAAGTTAAAAGAGTGCTAGAAGAGTACAGCTAAGGATATTTGGCATTAGTTATGCCTTCGCAAAGCTGAGTACAAATCGAAATTGCTTTCTTTTTCCTGCAAAACTAAGCAAAATGCTGAACAAATACAATTCTGTTATCTAGGCAACTGTGAGTATGAACAGTTGGTCTTTGGATTGTATGAGGTTGTCCTTGGGTGTTTCTTTTCTTTTTAAAAATGATATTTTTCACAGTGAGAAATATTTTCAGAAATGCTCTGTGATCAAGTGTAAGTCAGCTCTTGAAGGCTACAGTACAAACACACAACCAAAATTTTTAAGAGTTCCAGGGTATATAGAGAGCGTCTTTTTTTTTTTTTAACAGATGTACTTTTAAAAATTGTTTTATACTTTTTTTTACATTTTAAGTTCTGGGATATACGTGTGCAGAATGTGCAGGTTTGTTTCAACATGTGCTGTGGCGGTTTGCTGCACCTATCAACCCATAATCTAGATTTTAAGTCCCTGCATGCATTAGGTATTGGTCCTAATGCTCTCCCTCCCCTTGTCCCCCAGCCCTCTTCCCCCCACCCCCGCAGGCCCCAGTATGTGATGTTCCCCTCCCTGTGTCCACGTGTTCTCATTTACAGATGTACTTTTTATAGTAATCGGACATACATCACTGCATATGCCCAAAGAAGCCCTCATTAAAAAAAATAAAATTCTATAAACCCGATGATGGCTTTACGTTTAGTGATTAGAAATTGATTTATAGCAATGTTTGAATATGTACATAATCCTAAGTTTCTTGACATTGTTGGAATAGTTTTTCCTTTTGCAGGAAACTTCCAGAATAGGAAGTGTGTAGTTTACCTTAATACAATTTTACCATTACTAAGCATCTGTGTAGGATATACTTAAATATGCATTATTAACTTATCACTCACAGACAGTATAGAAGGTTTGGATTTTGTCACAGGAAAACATGTGCCCTTTCAGTGAGTCATAAAAACATAAAATCCTGGGAGAATAAAAAAACTGGAGAGTCAGATGTCCAAATACTGTTAACAATCAACTAAAGAAATCCATTGTGTGTTTCACTGGCACTAAGCATCAAACCCAGCTTGATCTCATTGTTATTTGGGGTTATATGAGGCTCACCAAGTTTCCCTTTAAGTCTCTACTTCTACTTAACTGGATTCCAATTCTGTTCTTCCCCCAAATATATTTTATCATTAAATCAACCCAGCACTTCCTAGCTAAACCAAAAGTTTAAAGCAACGTGTCCAAAGACAGGTATCTCCACTGACACTAAAATAAATTTTCCTTTGTTTTCATTACATTAATCTATTTTGGCTTGTATTTCTTTGCAGGCAACTCCTGTGAAGCGATATAGATATCTAAAGACTGAAAAACCAAGGTTCCTCCTATCATTCAGGTATTTGTTTTTAAAAGTCTTGATCATTTCCTCAGAACCTAGCTTTCTTGTCCTTATATTTTATTCAAATTTACAAACAAATTCTGTGTCTGCTCCCACATGTTCCTTCAGTCCCTACTGGACTGGACACATCCACATCCTTGGCAGGTTTTCTTTTAGGAGGACTATGAGAAGAGTGTTTTCTTTTAGGGGGACTATGAGAAGAGTATTTTCTTGTTTCGTATCAGTGATAATTGCCCATAAATTAACGCTCATGTGTACAGCAACAAAGGTAAGCACTTCTAGCATAATTTTTGCTTGGTCAGACTTTTTATGAGGTTCTGATTCTGCAGGTTCATGATAGACAGAAACCCAAAGATATGTGAGAGGCAGGTGTTGTGTGCTAGAAACATTGAAAGTGTCTCTCTTTTCTTCTTTCATTTTCATTTCTGCACTTCTAACACATGAAATTTAGCTGTTCTAAAATAGTCGAGGAGGAAACTGGCAAATGATGCTTTTATATTTTGGGAATTTGCTTTAAAAAGGGAGAATATGAAAACACAAACATCAAAGAGCAAAGTGGAAATCATGATAGTTTTCAAGTAATTCCAAGACAGAAGGAAGTCTGAAGTTTGAAGAACTGCAATGGGTAATGCTCCTTTTCACAAGTTTCTAATTTTCATTTTCTTTACTTTGTGCCTTCCAATCCTCCTTGTTACCTCCCTGAAGAAAACATTAAACAAATTAAAGCCATGCCAAAATACTAACAGCTAATTTAACCACCCCGTCTTTGGAATACAGCTTGTTTCTAAGTCCTACAAACTGAGGGAGACAGAAACCAGAAGACAGCATTCTCTTTCCCTTCTACTCTTCCACTCCTAACACTCCAACTGTGCCTTGCCTAAAGTTAATTTGCAAAGGGGATCTCAAGGGACGCCACTCCGGTCTACTGAAGTCCGGATCCATCCCCATGTCGACAAGAGGGTGGGCATGAACGTGGGGAAAGTGGGGAGGGCTAACGAGCAATTGAGAACAAGTTTCCCCCGAGGTCCAGTAGCCCTTCAGCTCTTTTTTCTCATTGAAAAGCAGAATTGGGAAGATGGGCCCCTTGTCCCTACAACGCCCCCCAGCGCGGAGCAGAGGTCACAGAAATGTCAGCGCAGCGCATTTGCTTGCAGGAGCAGCAGCTCTGCCGCTCCTCCCGCTCGGTTCGCTGCCACCCACGCAGGAAGCCTCCTTGCTGTCCCTCCAGGCTATAAACTGGGTTAACCCCAGCAAAACCTGCATCAGTGCCCGGAGCCTCAGTTTCCTGTATGTAAAATGAGGGGGATCCTTTCAGCTCTAACATGTGAGTGATTTCATTCTCACATCCTCTAAAAGCTCATCAACTGCTCCCCTATCCGACCTCCCCTCCCAAGAGACGCCTGTTTGAATCCCCAGTGTCCTCTCCCTTCACTCTCCCACGCCAGTTTCGACGGACCCCAAACACACTTGTTCACGAGGTGTCCACATCTCTCCATCCACGCCATTCTCCTCCCCTAACCAAATGAATCCATTTTAAAATCGTTTACTATTTGATACAACCCCTAAGAGGCTTTGCCAAGAGACGCCCGGCAGCACCACAGGGCTAACTGCTTTCCCCGGGATTCTGACCCCCATTAACTAATTCCTAGTTCCCATCACCCGGGAGTTAGGAGGGCCGGCAGCGCCGGGTGCGGTGCCTGCGCGCGCGCCGGGCGGGGGGAGCCTCGGCGGCAGCGAGGACGAAGGCGGGGGCGGTAGCACGGGTCCCCCCATCCGCCCCCAGCGCTCGGGCCCCTAATGAGCTGCTGAAAGGGAGCGGGCTCCGGTGCGCGTGGCTCGCAGGCCTCCCGGAGTCCAGGGCGCCCTGATTGGCCAGCTGCGCCTCGCGACCTCCATTCATTAATAAATTAGCGGCACGCTCCAGCCGAGCGCGAGCCACCAATCACAATGGACAGCGGCGGCGACAACAGCCGCAGCTTGAGCCTCTGCGGCCGCTGCGGCTTCGCCAGCTCCGGCCGCAGCCCGGAGCTCCAACAGGAGCTTTAGAACCATTTTATGTTGATTAGATAAAGGGGGAAAAGAGAGGCGGGGGTGGTGGGAGGAGGAGGATGGATGGCAGGGCCAAGGGAGGGGGAAAGGCGGTGAAGAAAGAGGAAGAAATGAATGATGATAATGCAATGAAAAGAATAAGCCAGAGGAGGGAAAAGCGGGGGAGAAGGGGGGCAGGACTGACAGGAGGAGGAGGCGGTGGCGGGGGAGGAGGGGGCCCGGGGCAGATCTGATTGTTTTCTTGGTGGTATATAAGGGGTTTTAAGGAGAGTCGTGTGCCAGACACGCAGCCACTGAACCACAAGCAGCTTCGCGTTAACTGGAGTGCCTGGGAGTCGCGTGCCAGGAGCCGCACGGCCAGGGACTGACTGACAGACAGACACGCACCACCACCACAACACACGAGACCCGGGCGGGCCGCCGCCGCCGCCGCCGGGGCTCTTGGCAAACTCGCCGGTCGCAGAGGTCCCCCGCGGAGCTGCGCCACAGTAGCGCCGGGCTTGCAGCTTTCACGCCGGGCGAAGGACCCGGCGCTGCGCTCGCAGCTGCGCGGAGATTCCCGGCACAGGCCAAAGTCACAGCAACGCTGAGGCACAGTTAGAGCCAACTAAGTAAGTATTCGAGCCACCGCTTCCAACTACGCAGGTGGTTTCCCCGCACTCAGTCCAACCACACCCGCACGCCCTCTGCTCCGCGCAGAATCTTTGTCGCGGAGGCCGCAGTCCCTTCTCGGGGAGGGAACGCAGGACCGCCCGCGGAGGGCAGGACCCGGCTGACTGGCAGCAGGGTCACAGCGAGCGCTAGCGGCGCTCCTGACCTTGGTTAGCACTGCCTGGGTTTCTTCCTTCGCCTTCCTGCTCCGCGCCATTCGGAGCTGGTCTTCTCGGGTGCGCGCCGGAGCACGCCCCTGTGACACGAAGATCGCGCCTCTGTTTCTTTCCTTACACCTCACTGCCTTTTTCCCCTTTCTCTCTTCGGTAGGATGTTCGTCAAATCCGAGACCTTGGAGTTGAAGGAGGAAGAGGACGTGTTAGTGCTGCTCGGATCGGCCTCCCCCGCCTTGGCGGCCCTGACCCCGCTGTCATCCAGCGCCGACGAAGAAGAGGAGGAGGAGCCGGGCGCGTCAGGCGGGGCGCGTCGGCAGCGCGGGGCTGAGGCCGGGCAGGGGGCGCGGGGCGGCGTGGCTGCGGGTGCGGAGGGCTGCCGGCCCGCACGGCTGCTGGGTCTGGTACACGATTGCAAACGGCGCCCTTCCCGGGCGCGGGCCGTCTCCCGAGGCGCCAAGACGGCCGAGACGGTGCAGCGCATCAAGAAGACCCGTAGACTGAAGGCCAACAACCGCGAGCGAAACCGCATGCACAACCTCAACGCGGCACTGGACGCGCTGCGCGAGGTGCTCCCCACGTTCCCCGAGGACGCCAAGCTCACCAAGATCGAGACCCTGCGCTTCGCCCACAACTACATCTGGGCACTCACCGAGACCCTGCGCCTGGCGGATCACTGCGGGGGCGGCGGCGGGGGCCTGCCGGGGGCGCTCTTCTCCGAGGCAGTGTTGCTGAGCCCGGGAGGAGCCAGCGCCGCCCTGAGCAGCAGCGGAGACAGCCCCTCGCCCGCCTCCACGTGGAGTTGCACCAACAGCCCCGCGCCGTCCTCCTCCGTGTCCTCCAATTCCACCTCCCCCTACAGCTGCACTTTATCGCCCGCCAGCCCGGCCGGGTCAGACATGGACTATTGGCAGCCCCCACCTCCCGACAAGCACCGCTATGCACCTCACCTCCCCATAGCCAGGGATTGTATCTAGAGCTGCCATTTCTGCTACCCACGCCAGGCCTTAGTGGGTTCCCTTTCCTGTCCCCAGTCGAGCCCTCCTCCCTTCCCCTGCCCCTCCTTTCCACGCCCTGGAAACCATCTCACTTCACAGGGCAGGTGTAGCCTTTCTGATTCCTCGGTTGTTTCTTGCATTTCTTGGCTTTGGGTATCCTTCATTCAGACGGGCTCTGATTTACTGAAGGTGTGATGGAGCTTATTGTCAAAGCCAAGGGTGGCGTTTTGGGGGCGCTTCTTGAGACGAAAAAGACCCTGGGAAGAGATGATGGTGGCATATCTAAAGAGTTTGCAGAGCGGACTGACGCTCCTCCCCTTTCTCTTTAACGCCGAAGGACTTGGTGCAGTTCGTGTGAATCTCACAGGGGGAATGCAACTGGTTCCTGTGATCTCTTCACCTTTGCTTCTACATAGAGATGTTAATGTCGAGTAGAAAGAAATGTATCTTAGCATCTGAATGATTTTGCTGGTAATAATATTATCCACAGATTTGCAATGGCTGGCATCTGCTTTATTCCCATTGCTGTCTGCAGGCTGTGGGAATTTCACCTGTCAAACCAAACTTCCCTCTCTGATGTGCACTTTGTTCTGTTTCCCAGATTCGTCACAATGCCTATTGTCCTGTCCTTCTCTTTCCTTTTTCTTCCCCATTTTGCCATCTGTCTCTTATGATTTATAAGGGGAAAAAAACTTGTTTTGTTAGAGGGGCAGGTTAGAAGTCATTGTATAATTTGTAGGCTTTGTAATGATTGAATGCAAGCGTGGAAATTTAGGCTGAACTCTCTATCAAAAGGAAAAATGTGGAGGAAAAGGGAAAAATCAGGAGGGAGGATTGCCTCATGTATTATTTATTTCGACCTTTTAGGGGAGAAGGAACTCCCCCATTCTTTCAAGAGATTAAAAATAAATCAACAGTCTGAAAACCTAAGCAGACACGGAGCATTATCCGGATCAGCCACACACGTGTTCCCTTCTATTTATTATAAAGAAATTTTTCATGGGAAAATATGTATTTTTTGTATATTCTACAGAGTTTATTCTAGTATGTATTTACATCTTGAAGAACAAGAAAGTTGTTCTTGTGATTAAACTATAAATAAACTATCTAATTTTCATAAGTTTGTGTGTTGTATTCTACCTTTTTCTTGCTTATGTGATTTTTAGATGCCAAATGAGTTGTGTTTTTTTGAAATTCTTCCCATGTCAAATTGAATATAGTACTTGTATTTTTGGGCAATGCTTTGTGTAGAATATCACTAAGAAATCACAAAAAGCTGAATCATATTTGAGACACTAATATTGAAAATAAGAGTGTAACTTTCTATTTTTAAGATAAACACACAATTTATTTCTAAGAAATAAATTTCTGAGCAAACAAGATAAGCAAAAAAGGGGAGAAGAATTTAAATGATAATTAAGTCATGATAAGCTCCAAAGTTCAGAAAACCTTGATTTGAAAAAAAGTGAAGTTGAAATTTCTTGGTGGAGTGTGTAGAAATTTGTTTTTTGTGCAACTCGTTTGGCTTCAATTCTCATCTGTAAACTGAAGGGATTGGACATGACCTCCAAGGGTGCTCCCTTTCCAGCTCTAACATCTGTGATGTAACAGTACGTATAAATTCATTATTAGAAGCAGATTTCCTATTAGGCATTTTAACAAGCTAGTTGCTTTTAAAAGCAGACTCCCAGAATAAAGCAGATATTTAGAGTGAACTGGAATTGAAAATATATACAGAAATAGCTCCGCTTTCCCAATATTTGTTAAAGCAATTACATAGTCAAAACTTCTTCAAAGAGAAAGCAAAAATGGTTTAACTTGCACCTCAATCTCCAAAGCAGAAATGAATGACCTTTGATTGGCTTTGGGTCAAAAATGACCAAATGAAGGTTGACCACATTCTATGCTTAATCCCCTTGGGGAAGAGTGTCTATGACAACACAAGCTAAAAAATATCACATTAAAACTTGGTCGTTCACAGCACCCACCTCCCCACGAATGTCTTACCTGCATCTGGTTTGGGCTAAATACTCCACTCTTCTGCACAATGCAATAATAATTTCTCCTGAGGTGTCTATCTGAAACCACTCCTCTCTAATAACTCCATTTTAATCAAAGGAAGAACTAACTCAGGGTTTTTGTTTCATTTTTTATAGCCAAGCATGAGATACCTTTTGGTAAATCCCTTTTAATTTAAAGATTGTGTTACTCTTAGCTGCTCTTTGATTATCTGACATGGGGAGAAAGTGATATTTCTCTTATATTCACATTTATGTTTCTAATGTTTAAAAAGCCAAGCCAGCAAGCAAAGGAATTGTAATATGATAGTTTGAAAACATCAGTTTTGGTGCTGAACAATGCTTCTTCTGGTGATACATTTGATGATACATGGTGCTTCTTTTGGAAACTTGCCAAAGAAATAGTTCATGACAAAATCTCAGATGCAGCTACTCCTCCAACTATGGGAAACCTTCTCAATTGGTGAAGCCATCCCATAAAAAGATGACCCTAATGGCTAAGGTGGAGAGGCAGGGATGGATAGATGATTCAATAATCCTAGCTCTGAGCAAGACTAATACAGCTAATACAGACTTCACTCTTGACCTAGCGGACTCTACACACTTCTTCCAGGTCCAGAGTCTTGTTCAAGTTCTCAAAGCTGGAGCTTGCAGGTCCCCATTACACACAAGCAGATATATCCTAAGTGCCCGGGCTTTCATCTGCCATTTGCAATTCACACTCAGGCTTTCCCTTCCCCATCTAGAACACACCTTATTTTACACTAAATTGGCGCAATTATTTTTTATGGCATCTAATCATCTTAAGCGGGTAAGAATGGTGTTCTGACTGCCTCAGCGCCGAGATTCTCTCCCCTAATCCGTTGCAACCTTCACAGCCGGTGGCCTGAGGCCCAGTCGTTCTCTTCCCTTCCTAGTAGGAATGAGTACAATTAGAGGGTCAAAGCCGCTGCTTCTGCAGTAGGCAACAAGGTAGTATTTCCATTTTATTCATTTCCCTCCCGACATTGTGACCGCGCTGTGATGAGCTGCATCTGTGTGCACCAAGTAGGTTTGCAGGCCTCGGAGCCACGCCATTTTATTTCTGGTGGCTCTGGTGAGAGACACTTCAAACAACGCTGTGGAGATTTTCTTCCGGTGACAGACACAGACTCTCAGTGTTGCTAGATCTTTCCAACGCCAGCTAGCGCGCTGCGGCGCGTTTTCCTAAGTGCGGAGAGGCGCGAAGGTGGGTCCTGTTCTCATTGGAGCGTCGCTTTAGCGCGGCCGGCGTTCCGGGACTGGCTGTATTTATTTGTTCTAAAGTGCTCAGGCCTTGTTACGGCTCATTTTTCCTTCACTAGATTTTAAATACATCCATCTGAGTGCCAAGAAGGAGGAAAAAAAAAGTAGAGAGGCGGACTGCCAACCGCTGGGCCCGCCACGGGAGCCGGACCTAGGCTCAGCCGGAGGCAGGAGGAGGGGCTGAGGCTTCCCGGGCCCGCAGCACCTGGACCAGAGCCGGATGGGCGCTCCTGGTGTCCCAGCTGAGGCGAAGGCCCTGGGCGGCTTTGGCCAGGAGGGAGGAAGGACCCATTCGGCACTTCCCAAAGCCTAGTCCGATGGCCCAGGAAGGGCGTTTAGACCCAAGGCCGGCTTCAGCTGCCCACCCGCCAGTCTGGGTCACAGGCTGCTAAAGGGCCGGGCTTGAGGGCGAGGCTGGGAGCTGCGGCGCCCCCACCCGCTGGGTACACCCCCCTGCATTGCACACCCTTGAGCTGGTTGTGACTTCTGGGCACCGACACCTGGAACCGGTTAAAAGCGCCTCCTCCTCACCGCCAGCCTCGGTCTTCCCCGAGCCCCCTCGGGCTCCCAAGCGAGCTTTGAATGTATTAATTAAATAAAGCGGGCAGCTCTTGAATCGCGCCAATGCAGTGCGCTCCCGGGAGCGTGAAAGTCCCGGCCTCCGAATCTGCAAAAGAAATGTGTGAAAAGAGAATTAGTGAAATTAGGTTAGACCAATAAAACGTGAGGGCTCCAATACCCCCCTTTCTCGCTCCCCCAGCCTGGGGCTAGAAGGGCTATCTGGTCTGATCTATTGTTTCCTGCCCTGGCAGGGGGTTCATTGTGTGATAAATAATTCCCCCTCCATTTTCTTTTATTCTTAAAAAAAATGGGTATTTGCATAATCAGTGCTTTGATGTGGCCAGAAATCGGAGGTTTGGTCTCCCCAAGTCTGCTATTGGTAGCGAAGCAACAAAGCTAGATCCAGATCTTTCACTTCGCTGACAGTGTGTGGGGCAGATTGTCAGAAATAGCAGCGTTAAGCTGCTGCCTTCTTTTTTAAGGACCACTTTAATGATTAAACTTAAGGAATGTCCAAAAAAGGAGGGATGAAAGACCAGCTTTCTCATCACTCCACGGACACACCCCGCCCCCCGCCCCCCCCCCCATGCTTCTTATTATTCTCTGCAGTTTCTTTTCCAAAGCGCTTGGTTTGGGGGATGGTGCATCTCCCTTGGGGCCGCCCCACGTGGCACCGAGTGGGCATCGGCAGGGGTCCCCTAGGGCCAAGGAGGGGCCAGGTCTGCAGGAGCGGTTCTCCTTGCCCCCAACGCGTTTTTCCTTCCCCAGTTTGATTTTTCCAGCCGGGATGGGGTTCATCTTATGGAGGACGTTGAAGTGAGTCGCTCTTTAGTCCCCGAGTGGAATGAGTGGGGGTTGGGGGGTTCCCTGGGAACGCAGCTTGGAGGCAGTTTCAGATGGTCCCCGACAGGAGAGGCGAGCAAAGAAATTCAGTCATCCGGAAAGCAGAACGCGAAAGCCAGTGTGGCCGGACCTATTATTTCCCTGCAAGGTGGCGTGAGTCGGGAGGATGGAATGGGGAAGAATCCTGATGGTGTGTGCGTTACAACAAACGACTTTTTTCCCCCTCTCGGTGCCAGGGTCGGGGGAGGGGAGACAGGGGTGGTTCTGTCTGCTTTCGCTAGCATTCTCTGCTTCTCCAGCTGCTCAGAGCGCGAAGGGGGAAATGCCAACTTGGATTACTGACTGAGAACACCGCGTGAAAGGCCAGGCCTCCCTGATTACCCGGGCAGGCGCCGGCTTCGCGCTCCAGCCTGGAGAGGTGTCAACCGCGTGAGAGATGCTCGGCCTCCCGGGATCCAAATTGGAGATGGAATCAGAGATGGAAGGGGGAAAGGAGGAGGATCCTTGAAACACCTGCACGCCCACGGTCCCACTCCTTCTCCTCCTCGGCCCCGCATCTCACCGAACTGACCCCAGGCCATTCTTCAGATGTCCCAGCAGCTTTTGGATCGCAGAGCTTCAGCGGTAGTTAGCTCATCGTGAATTCTCTTTTTACTTGGTTATCTTTGCTTTTACTTTTCAAGGCTGTAACTATATAAGCATTCGGTTTTCTGCATATTCACTTTCTTACAAAACAAAAGTTACATATTTCTTAGGAAATAAAAGAACCCAGGATCCACAGTTCCTCCCAATGGAAACATATTTTTAAGGCTCGACTTTGGGGGCAGCTGTTTAGATTCGTGTTACCTGGCAGACTCTACTTACTGCACATGGAAGTCCAGCCGTGCAAGAAATCAAGAGGCAACATGTTAAAGTTATTTCCAAAGGACACATCTCCTAGAGTAGCCTGTTTGGACTGCAGCTGGCTTTTTAAATATTCAATACGGAGTGTATATCTTCTCTGATAGATCTTGTCGAATTGTACAGCAGGTTGTGTCACCAATGTTTATCTCCATTTCTTTCTATTGATTCCATTATCACCTTCTCTTTGTTTCCATCTGCACTCAAATCGTCGATTCCACTTACAGTCCTTTTTGCTCCATAACTAAAGGCATACGTGGAGACGTTAAACAATGGAGCAAAGAACCAAAACCTTTCACCTATCTTATTTGATGTAGAAAGGATTAAATAAAGGTGCTGAAGTCCACGTAAAATGGAAACAGGAAGCCTTAAAATATGGAGAGAGCTGGGGGCTGGTTTCCATGGCAGCAGCTTGCAATAAAGCCTAATGCCAAGTGACAAAGAGGTCATCTTCGTTTTCAAACGTGTTTATGATCCCTTTGTGTATTGTATGTTGGCATAAAAGCTTCTCCGCAGGGTCAGGGCTCCGCGGGCAGCTCTATGACTCTCAAGGGGGTTTATTGCCTCCTTGGCATAAGAATAGCCAAAAGAAGCCAAACTAGTGCCAGTGTGACAAAAGAGTAACCCCACAGGCTTGCCATTGCTTTCTTTCCATTTCTTTTTTTTTTTTGCAGTACATAAATCTTGCTATGCATTGAAGTAATCAAACACGAAGGATTCTGAGATAAGTTTAGTTTAATCTTGTTTTTTTTTTCAAACTTTTACATCTACTGAAACATCATATATAAACCAATACAAGAAGGTGGATTCAATATGAGGAAGGTTGATTCAATATGATTTATTTATTTTTGCCTTACTTTCCAGATAATCTTGGGAAAGAACTCAAGTGAGATAAAACGTTGAACATACCTGTGAAACTAAAGGAAAGACTAGCTGTAAATTTCAGATAATCATTGTATTAATACTTTTTTTCATATCACAGTGCATAGACTGTGATCAAAAAGGTGTTTTTAAAAATCAAACCTATCTAGACCAGATGTGGTGGCTAACGTCTGTAATCCCAGAACTTTGGGAGGCTGAAGCGGGAGGATCACTTGAGGCTGGGAGTTCGAGACCAGCTTGGCCAACATGTTGAAACCCCTCTCTACTAAAAATACAAAAATTAGCCAGGCTGGTGGCGACACCTGTAATCCCAGCTACTCAGGAGGCTGAGGCAGGAGAATTGCTTAAACCCTGGAGGCAGAGGTTGCAGTGAGACGAGATCGCACCACTGGACTCCAGCCTGGGCGACAGAGTGAGACCCTATCTCAAAATAAATAAATAAGGGCCGGGCGCAGAGGCTCACGCCTGTAATCCCAGCACTTTGGGAGGCCGAGGCAAGCGGATCATCTGAGGTCAGGAGTTCAAGACCAGCCTGGCCAACATGGTGAAACCCGGTCTCTAACAAAAAAATACAAAAATTAGCCAGGCGTGGTGGCCCGCACCTGTAATCCCAGCTACTCAGGAGGCTGAGGCAGAAGAATCACTTGAATCCGGGAAGCTGAGGTTGCAGTGAGCTGAAATCGCACCACTGCACTCCAGCCTGGGCAACAAGAGTGAAAACTCCATCTCAAAAAAAAAAAAAAAAAAAAAAAAAGTTAAAAAAAATCCTATCTAAGTTAATATTTCCCCTAACCCTCAAAATTACCATGGCAACAGCTTGGAAGCAGACGAGAAAAAAACATAATTTTGCTGGAAAAACAGTAAAGAACTCAGAAGTCCTGAGTTCACATCCAGTGTTTCTCTTGAATTAGGAGATGATTTTGGACTATATCTCTGTGTGACATTGGGCATGTGCACGGGCAAACACGTCCAGTAGAGTTTTTCATGGTATCTGCAATAGAAACTCCTTGCTGTAATTTTCAGTAGATGTAGGAGACTCCATCTGACATTTTCAATTATTATTCTGTCAGCAAACAATTTTTAAGGGGGTTCAGTTCTCCTTGAGTAGCCGGCATCTCAGGTTTTTCTGTTCTACACTGGGGAGAGTTTTCTAAATGTCTGAGAGTTTTCAGAACCATTTTGTTTTGAACTATAGGAGGTGAAGCTGAACTGATGAAGGCACTGGCCAGTTGTACCCTCCTCACCTCCACATTACTCTGTATCTTGCCTACACTTTCATAACACATGCATGGTGTGGTAATTACCATAATACCTTACAAAGCAGATTGGAGAAAATATTTGTGGTGCCAATGACTGGATATAGTTCTCCCGGTAACCAGGTAATTGCTGCCTCTGCTTATTTCTTTTTTTCTTTTTTATCTTTTTTTTGAGACAGGATGTCACTCTGTCACCCAGGTTAGAGGGTAGTGGCACAATCCTGGGTCACTGTAGCCTCCGTCTCCTGGGCTCAAGCGATTCTTCCATGTTAGCCTCCTGAGTAGCTGGGACTTCAGGCATACACCGCCACGCCTAGCTAATCTTTTAAAAATTTTTCATAGAGATGAGGCCTCCCCTATGTTTCCCAGTGGGCTCAAGCAACCCTCCCACTTCAGCTTCCCAAAGTGCTGGGATTATAGGCATGGCTACTGCTCCAGCCCACTTCTTTTTTTCTTTGAGATGGAGTCGCCAAGGCTGGAGTGCAGTGACACGATCTTGGTTCACTGCAGTCTCCGCTTCCCAGGTTCAAGGGATTCTTATGCCTCACCTTTCCATGTATGTGGGATTACAGGCACATGCCACCACACCTGGCTAATTTTTGTATTTCTGGTAGATGGGGTTTCACCATGTTAGCCAAGGCTGGTCTCAAACTCCTGGCCTCAAGTGATTCGCCCGCCTCAGCCTCCCAAAGTGCTGGGATTACAGGCATGAGCTGTGGTGCCCGGCCTCCTTCTTGAACTTTCTAAGGAAAAAAGTCAAAGGTTCAATTTTCTTCAATACCTTTTTTCCCCCTACCCCAGCAAAGTGAGTGAAACTCTCCCCAAGGGCATTTTGATTCTAATGTTACCATATTTTTGGTAAGGGACTAGAAAGAGAGTATTCATAAATATTGAGCTTCTCCACCCTTTTGTACTCATGACACACTTTCAAATTCTAGAAATTTTGTTAGCAAATTGGAAAGGATTACAAGTCTCAAGGCAACATTAAACAAGGCAACAATGATTACACCATGCAGTGTCTCACTGGCATCTCACAGAATCTAGTAACATTCATAGCCATCGGATTATTCACTTCGTTGTCCTTTTGCACTATATTACTGTTTAAGTAGAATTATTTCTTTTCCTACAGTGCTCTCCCCTACACAAGAGGCAATATTTTCACAAGTTCCAGGAAACACAATTTCTTTTGCACTATTTTTAGACTCTTATTTAAAGCTTGAAGAGGTCTGGTGTGGTGGCTCATACCTGTAATCCCAGTACTTTGGGAGGCTGAGGTGGGAGGATTGCTTGAGGAGTTTGAGACCAGCCTGGGCAATTTAGGGAGACCTCGTCTCTCTAAAAAAATTAAAAATTAGCCAGCATGGTGGTGTATGCCTGTAGTCCCAACTCTTCAGGTGGTTGAGGTGGCAGGATTGCTTGAGCTCAGGAAGTCAAGGCTGCAGTGAACTGTAATCTCACCACTGCACTCCAGCCTGGGTGACAGAGTGAGAACATTTCTCAAAATAAAAATAAATAAATAAATAAACAAAATGAAAGAAAGCTTGCTATTTCCTTTCATTCCATGATATTCAGTTAATTGTGTTTCACCTGACAAAACACTACTGCTGGATATTGTGGAGGATGTTCCTAGTCTTTGCCATATCTGATTCTCTAATCCTTCTGGGCATGCTCAGACCATTTATAACGGAGCGAGCCTCCATCTCTTGTCTCTATCTTCCTCTTGCCTTAAGATAGTAAGGCCAAAATATCAACGCTAGTTGGGCTCCTGAGTGACCACATAAAGAACAGTGGTCCTTATGAGTCGCCTAAACTCACAGTGGATGTTGTATGAGAGAGAAAAACTTGTGAGCTGAGCCACTTAGATTTGGTGGTTGGTTGTTATTGCATCATAATTTCGCCTACCCTGATTAATATGGTTGTGTATTTATTCAGGGAGTATATAACTTATTTGTAGCAACAAAATTAAAAAAAAGTCTTATACATTGACTAAAACTTGATAGCCCAACTTTGAAGAATTTGAAGATTCTGTTATTTTAAAAGTCATTTTTATTTTTATTTTGGGCCATGTAAGAATGTTTTAATGCCTTAAAATCTTCAGCTGTTCCAAAAGTGATTTTAAAAAACCATCTTAACCATTTTAAGTGTACAGCTTAGTAGCGTAAAGTATATTCATATTGCTGTGCAACAAATCTTCAGAACTTTTTCATCCTGCAAAACTGAAATTCTATACTCATTAAACAACAACTCTCATTTCTTCTTCCCTCCAGCTCCTCGCAAATACTGTTCATATTTATTTTTAAAGCATATAGGACCCCTGCCCTCATTTTTCTCTATCTCAGTTTAATTAACTTTAATTTGAATTGTCCACACTATTATTATAGAAGTAAGCATGTATAAAGTTCTATCACTCACAACAACTAGTTCTTCTGCTACCTTTCGGGAAATAATTAACAAAATGGAGCTGTACTCTCCTTTGCATAGTGTTATTGACTGATGCAAAATTGCGATCAATTTTGTAAGAGAGCACCCATTATCTGGGTACCTACTCCTCCTGAATGAAGCCATCTTGACAGAGTAGATGGTTTGACAGAGTCCTGAAGGTAAATATGTTTTTTGCCCCATCTTTTTCCAGAATGGGCCAGAGGTAGTTCAACGGGTCTGGAGGCCAGTTTGAAGAGTAGATTGATTCCTGAGCCCATGGATAAAATTCACTGTGATGTACAATTTGATCCTGTTGTACCCAGGCTTAAAAGGACAATGTGATTAAACTACACATTAAATTGAAGTACTATAATTAGCTTACAAACTTAGAGTATGTGATGGGGTTTTTTCATTTTGAAGAAGCCAGAGCATTGGACTAAGTGATTAGAGTCCTTTCTGTTACTGAGTGGCTATATAACTATGAGTAGGTCTCTTAGCCTGGTATAGTAGGCCTAAGGTTAGAACAACTGTTTATGGTTATACCAAGTATTTCCAAACGCTATTCTAGCTTCACTTTTCAATGTCTTTTTAAAAATAAAGTACACTAGGTTTGCTTTTAGAAACACTTTTAGTTAAAATCTAACAGATTTATCTTGATATATTTTTAGAAAGATTTTGCTTTTCAGAGAGTCCATATTAATTTTCAAAAATACTTGGAGAAACCACATTTTAACTTGCTTTTTATAACTATGCCTTTAAAAATGAAAACTGGAAGCTTGAAGGAGGCAACTGAAAAGACCCTCAAGCTAGGCTAATATTTAGCACTGACATCTAAGACCTGCCATGTGCCTTGGATTCAATTTTGTTTTTCATTCAGCACTTGTACTGAACACAGGTCAATCATTTTAGGTGGGGAGGAGAAGTAAATTTTTGAAAATGGTTTCTTTCTTTTAAGCTGCTTCCAAGCAGGGGATGACAATTTCTTTTGTTCAGAGAGTTGTATTCCTTCAACTGCCTCATTTCTCCCTGATCTTTAAAGGTGTCTCTTGATTTGGACATCATGGACCTATAAACACATCACACAATAATTTAAAATTGTTCTTCTTGGGGGGAAAACAGATTAAGTCTCAGCTCCCCATGAATAGCTCTGCTCTCTTTTTTAATAAAGAAGAGTTAGACTGGACCAGTGTCGATGACATATTTACCTTCATGAGCTAAAAAAAAAAAAAAAAAAAGAAAGTTAATTACTGCTCGGAGCAAGAGCAAGTTAGTCCGGCTGTCCTGAGCTGTCTTTTATTAGTTGTCCCCTTCATTAATTTCCCTCACTGGATTTGCTGCTAATAGCTGCCTGGCTCCCCCTCAGCTCAAAGCCGCATCTGTGCCATTGAGCAGGAAAGTAGGAGCCTGGCCAAAGGGGGGTTGTGATGGAGTGAGGGAGACGCTATTTACAAATCAGCTCTTATTAACATGATGGTCTGGTGCGCTGAAGAGGGAGATGGTGGCCTCAGAGCAGAGAGCTGTAGAGCAGAGAAGAGGTAGTGAGATCTGAAGGAACCAGCACCAAGCATGGTGGTTTGGATTTGTACTTCTCTCCTATGAACTAGTGTTCCCTTAGCGCCAACTTAGAATAACATTTTCCCCCCCCCAAGGACTGGATATGTACTACTCTGTCACTGAACTTCATGAAAAGTTCCAAAAGTATCGATCTTTAGCAACGAGGTTTAATTTTCCCCATACGATGCAAAGACTCTGAGAGATCCAAGTCAATAAATGATCTTTTTTCTTTTATAAGCTTATAGTTTATTTTTAGATATTAATTCAGTTAGAGACCATGTTGTGAATATATATATAATTTTTAAATCCTTGTTCCATTTATGATATACATTAATTTGATGCTCAGCTATCTTTATTTTTCTCACACTTACCACCAAGAAGCATACTATCTTACTAATTTATTTTATTTACATTATCTTCCCTCATTAGAATGTAAACTCCAGGAGGACAGGTGTGTGTGTCGTGTGTGTACCTGCTCACCCTTTGTTCAATGTTGCTATCTCCAGCATCTGTAACATGCCTCTGAGCCAGATTGAAAGGGCAGGTAACTCTCTCTTCTTTGGTAGCAACATTAAACAATAACCTCATGTAAGTTTTCTTTCTTGAATCCCTTTTTCAGGAAAAACCCACATAAGTTCTGAACAAAGATTAGCCAAAGGAATTTTGCAAGCATTATGTTCCATTTGTTGCTATGTTGTGATTTTTTTTTTCTCTCTCTAAGGAAGATCAACAGCGGTCATGGTGAGATTTACTTGAGAATTTCTACAATGTATCATTTAATCTTTTTATGAATAGAGGGAAAAAGTTATTAATATATTTTGAGTATTAAGGGGACTTTAAGCCTATGAAGAGTAATTTGACTAAGATAATAAGACTAAGATAATAATAAGTATATTTAATAAGTATAAAATAAATAATAAGTGTAAGATAATATTAAGATAATAACTAACATAATAATAAGATAAGACTAAGAGTCTCCCAGGATAAGGTCACCACTTATTCAAAACATCTGGTGTGCATAGGGCTCCTGACTAGATGATGGTTTGAGAGTAAAAGAGGTACATCTGTTGGAACAAAGGTACTTTTGCTGGGACAACTGATAGGGGGAGAGCAAGAATTCCTTCCAGGTGAACAAAGTTCTGTCTCCCAAAAAAGTCATTGTCTAACCTCTTATCTAAATGATACTGATGGTTAATGGCTTGATAATCAAAAAGCCTACCTTAAGAGAAAGAGCATAACATTAACAATGAAAGGGTCAGGTTTGAGTTGTGGCTCCCTCTGTGTAATTCTGAATAAGTTCCTTAGTCTGTCTGCGCTCTTAGTTCTACAGCTGTAAGCTCTGTCTTCGATCACAGAATATGTAGACAGTTTCCAGTTTTTCTCTAACATAAACAGCATTGTAGCTAAACTTTGCATTTACATTTATTTTCTTACAATGAAAGAGTGCTCAGAAATAACAAATCATGTGTCTTTTTATGGACATAAAAATATGTTCCCAATATATCGTTAGGTTGAAAACAGCAGATTAGGTCAGGCATGATGGCTCATGCCTGTAATCCCAACACTCTGGGAGGCCAAGGCAGGAGGATCTCTTGAGCTCAGGAGTTCAAAACCAGCCTGGACAACATAGTGAGACCTTGGCTTTGCAAGAATTTTTTTTTTTTTTAATTAGCCAGGTGTGGTGACATGTACCTGTATTACCAGCTACTTCAGAAGCTGAGGCAGGAGGATCACTTGAGCCCAGGAGTTTGAGGCTGCAGTGAGCTATGATCATACTACTGTACTCCAGCCTGGCTAATAGAGTGAGACTCTATCTCAAAAAAAAAAAAAAAAAAAAGCAGATTAGAGTAATGTGTGTAAAATTATCAAATAATTATCAAATAATAGCTGTAATAACAGCTAACATTCATTGTGCTTACATGTTAGGACCATTGCTAAGTCATTTACATAGATTATTTTATAAAACTTCATAACAACCCTCTGATGTAGCTACTATTATTATTTCTATTTTACATAAGAAGACATTCAAACTTTAAATATTAATAGTAGTCATCCTGGTGGTTGAATCATGACTATTTTAAAATTTATAATTATTGTTTATTTGATACTTTCTACTTTTCAGCTTTGAACAGATATCACTTGTTATAGTGTGGTGAAATACATGTAACATTTACCATTTTAACCACCTTTAAGTACAATTCAGTGGCATTAAGTAAATTCACAATATTATGCAGTTATCAGCTTGGCTACTTAAAGAACTTGCTCACCATCCTAAACAGAAAGTTTGTTCCCACTAAAGAATTCCCCATTATCCCCAGTCCCCAGCTCTTAGAAACTTCTATCCTATTTTCTGTCTCTATGAATTTGCCTTTTCTAGGTGGCTTATGTAAGTGGAATCATGCAATATTTTCCTTTTGTGTCTGGTCTATTTCACTTAGCATATTTTAAAGATTCATTCAACTTGTAGCATGTGTCAGAATTTCATTCCTTTTAAAGGCTGAATAATATTCTATTGAAAGTCTATGCCACATTTTGCTCATCCATTCACCTGTTGATGTGAATGTATACATATTGCTTTTCTTACAGGAAAACAATATTTTTATTTTTATTTTTTTTGAGATGGAGTCTTGCTCTGTTGCCCAGGCTGGAGTGCAGTAACGTGATCTCGGCTCACTGCAACCTCCACCTTCCAGGTTCAAGTGATTCTCCTGCCTCAGCCTCCCGAGTAGCAGGGACTACAGGCACGTGCCACCATGCCCCGCTAATTTTTTGTACTTTTAGTAGAGACAGGGTTTCACCACGTTAGCCAGGACGGTCTCGATCTCCTGACCTCGTGATCTGCCCACATCGGCGTCCCAAAGTGCTGGGATTACAGGCATGAGCCACTGCGCCCGGCCAGGAAAACAATATTTTTAATTAAATTTAATAAAATTTATTGCCCCCAGGTAAGACTGCTATAAGGTTTAAATGATACAATGTATGTATCCTTGGAAAAGTATAAAATGCTTTTTGAATAGTAGTAATTATTTTCAATAATGGTTTCTCTTAAACTGCTCACTCTTTCAAGTCTTTAAGGAAACACCAAAAAGACCCATTTTCTAGTTCTTTGAAGGTTGGTGGAGTTACTTTGTGGCAGATGGACCACATCACATAATGGCTACTTGCCTCTTTGTTTCTAGGCCCTTCATTTGCATAAATGGTTCAGGTTTTCTCAACAATAGTTTTTGAACTGTCCTCTCATAGAAGAGCTGGTTGGAGAGGCAAACCAAATCCAGTAGCACATTAAAAAGCTTATCCACCACGATCAAGTCGACTTCATCCCTGGGGTGCAAGGCTGGTTCAACATATGCAAATCAATAAACGTAATCCATCACATAAACAGAACCAAAGACAAAAACCACATGATTATCTCAATAGATGCAGAAAAGGCCTCTGATAAAAATTCAACACACCTTCATGCTAAAAACACTCAAGGCCAGGCGCGAAGGCTCATGCCTCTAATCCCAGCACTTTGGGAGGTCAAAGGGGGCAGATCACCTGAGGCCAAGAGTTCGAGACCAGCCTGACCAACATGGAGAAACCCCGTCTCTACTAAAAATACAAAATTAGCTGGGCGTGGTGGTGCATGCCTGTAATCCCAGCTACTCAAAATGCTGAAGCAGGAGAATCGCTTGAACCCAGGAGGTGGAGGTTGCAGTGAGCTGAGATCACACCATTGCACTCCAGCTTGGGCATCAAGAGCGCAACTCCAAAAAAAAAAAAACACTCAATAAACTAGGTATTGATGGAACATATCTCAAAATAATATGAGCTATTTATGACAAACCCACACCAATATCATATTGAATGGGCAAAAGCTGGAAGCATTCCCTTTGAAAACCGGCACAAGACAAGGATGCCCTCTCTCACCACTCCTATTCAACATAGTATTGGAAGTTCTGGCCAGGGCAATCAGGCAAGAGAAAGAAATAAAGGATATTCAGATAGGAAGAGAGGAAGTCAAATTGTCTCTGTTTGCAGATGACATGATTGTATATTTAGAAAACCTCATTGTCTCAGCCCCAAAACTCCTTAAGCTGATAAGCAACTTCAGCAAAGTCTCAGGATACAAAATCAATGTGCAAAAATCACAAGCATTATTATACACCAATAATAGACAAACAGCCAAATCATAAGTGAACTCCCATTCACAATTGCTACTAAGAGAATAAAGTACCTAGGAATACAACTTACAAGGGATGTGAGGGACCTCTTCAAGGAGGACTACAAACACTGGGGAAGGAAATGAGAAGACACAAACAAATGGGAAACATTCCATGCTCATGGTTAGGAAGAATCAATATCGTGAAAGTGGCCATACTGCCCAAAGTAATTTATAGATTCAATGCTATTCCCATTAAGCTACCACTGACTTTCTTCACAGAATTAGAAAAAACTACTTTAAAGTTCATATGGAACCAAAAAGAGGCCGCATTGCCAAGTCATTCCTAAGCCAAAAGAACAAAGCTGGAGGCATCACGCTACCTGACTTCAAACTATACTATCAGGCTACAGTAACCAAAACAGCATGGTACTGGTACCAAAACAGAGATATAGACCAATGGAACAGAACAGAGGCCTCAGAAATAACACCACAAATCTATAACCATCTGATCTTTGACAAACCTGAGAAAAACAAGCAATGGGGAAAGGATTCCCTATTTAATAAATGATGTTGGGAAAACGGGCTAGCTATATGCAGAAAACTGAAACTGGATGCCTTCCTTAAACCTTGTACAAAAATTAACTCAAGATGGATTAAAGACTTAAACATAAGGCCTAAAACCATAAAAACCCTAGGGGTAACCTAGGCAATACCATTCAGGGCATAGGCATGGGCAAAGACTGCATGACTAAAACACCAAAAGCAATGACAGCAAAAGCCAAAATTGACAAATGGGATCTAACTAAAGAGCTTCTGCACAGCAAAAGAAACTATCATCAGAGTGAACAGGCAACCTACAGAATGAGAGAAAATTTTTGTAATCTATCTGTCTCACAAAGGGGTAATATCCAGAATCTATAAGCAACTTAAACAAATTTACAAGAAAAAAACAACCCCATCAAAAAGTGGGTGAAGGATATGAACAGACACTTCTCAAAACAAGACATTTATGAAGCCAACAAACTTATGAAAAAAAGCTCATCATCACTGGTCATTAGAGAAATGCAAATCAAAACCACAATAAGATACTATCTCATGCCAGTTAGAATGGAGATCATTAAAAAGTCAGGAAACAGGCTGGGCGCAGTGGCTCACACCTGTTATCCCAGCACTTTGGGAGGCCCAGGCAGGCAGATTGCCTGAGGTCAAGAGTTTGAGACAAGCCTGACCAACATGGTACAAAAATTAGCTGGGCATGGTGGTGGGCACCTGTAATCCCAGCTACTTGGGAGGCTGAGGCAGGAGAATCACTTGAACCTGGGAAGTGGAGGTTGCAGTGAGCCGAGACCAGGCCATTGCACTCCAGCCTGGGCAACAAGAGAGAAACTCTGTCTCAAAAAAAAAAAGTCAGGAAAGAACAGATGCTGGAGAGGATGTGGAGAAATAGGCACGCTTTTACATGGTTGGTGGGAGTGTAAATTACTTCAACCATTGTGGAAGACAGTGTGGCGATTCCTCAAGGATCTAGAACCAGAAATATCATTTGACCCAGCAACCCATTACTGGATATATACCCAAAGTATTATAAATCATTCTACTACAAAGACACATGCACATGTATGTTTATTGCAGCACTGTTCACAATAGCAAAGACTTGGAACCAACCCAAATGCCCATCAATGATAGACTGAATAAAGAAAATGTGGCACATATACACCACGTAATACTGTGCAGCCATAAAAAAGAATGAGTTCATGTCCTTTGCAGGGACATGGATGAAGCTGGAAACCATCATTCTCAGCAAACTAACACAGGAACGGAAAACCAAACACTGCATGTTCTCACTCATAAGTGGGAGTTGAACAATGAGAACATATGGGCACAGGGAGGTGAACATAACACATTGGGGCCTGTTGTGGGGTGGGGAGCAAGGGGAGGGATAGCATTAGGAGAAATACCTAATTTAGATGACAGGTTGATAGGTGCAGCAAACCACCATGGCACGTGTGTACCTATGTAACAAACCTGCAAGTTCTGCGCATGTATCCCAGAACTCAAAGTATAATAATAATTAAAAAAAAAAAAGAAGAAGAGCTGGTTGGGGCACTGGCCTATGTTATTCTATGCTAATATTACAAATTGATTTTCTTTTGAGGTACCGAGGTGAAAGGATTGCTTGGAGCCAGGAGTTCGACACCAACCTCAGCAGCAAACTGAGTCCCTGTCTCTACAAAAAAATAAAAAAATTTAGTCAGATGTGATGGCATGTGTCTGTACTCCCAGCTACTTAGGAGGCTGAGGTGGGAGGATAGGTTTAGCCCAAAAGTTCGAGGCTGCAGTGAGGTGTGATTATGCCACTGCACTCCAGCCTGGGCAAAAGAGCAAGACCCTGTCTCCAAACAAAATAAATAAATAGGCTGGGTGCAGTGGCTCATGCCTGTAATCCCAGCACTCTGAGAGGCTGAGGTGGGCAGATCACTTGAGGTCAGGAGTTTGAGACCAGCCTGGCCAACATGGCGAAACCCTGTCTCTACTGAAAATAAAAATACAAAAGTTAGCCGGGCGTGGTGGCGTGTGCCTGTAGTCCCAGCCACTTAGGAGGCTGATGGAGGAGAATTGCTTGAGCCTGAGAGGAGGAGGTTGCAGTGAGCTGAGATCATTCCACTGCACTCCAGCCTGGGTGATACAGCGAGACTCTGTCTCAAAAAAAAAAAAAAAAAAAAAAAAGTAAATAAACATTTAAAAATGATTTTCTTTTGTAGAAAGAAATGTTTCCTGTAATTTGTTTCTTAAGACTTAGTAACCACTGACTTTTCTCAAAATTGATAAATCAGTAGCAAACACTATATCAATAGCAATGCTATTAGAATGCTGTAGAGCTATTAGACCCCTAGGAGTTTTAGAAATCATGAAGGATGGAATTTGAATTGAGAAGCAGTTGAAACAATTGGCCGGGCCTGTGGGTTAGGGAGACCCCCGACAGCTGACCTGGATTTTGACTAGATTAAGCAGATGATCATGAGGTCATAAGATGTAAGATAGGTGAGTTGCAACAATATTTGGTTGGAACAATGAGGATATGGCAGAGAGAAGCCTGGCAATGACACTGGACTAAAGCCAGTGAGCTTAGGGCACTAGAGTGTCCGAGATGGCTGCAGGGAAGGCAGGGGGAGGGTGCTAATTGGGGAAAGACGCTGAAGACAGACATTACATTTCTTCTGCTTTACAATTTGTCCATAGATGGATGGCTCAGGTAACCTCGTGGCTTGTATGCTGCTGCAATGAGGCATGCTGTTGAGGTGTTGAGGCAAGGAGAGGATCATATTGAATTTGGAGTCCACAGATAGAAATTTGATACCAAATTTAATTATAGATTTGGGCAGCCATTCTAGCCCCAGTCTTATTTCAAGCTCCAGAAAGTGACTCATTTTCTGTCTCATCAGATTACTTGCTTTTTTTTTTTTCATTTTCTGTCTCATCAGATTACTTGCTTTTTTGGGGGGGCGGGGCGCGGATACTATTTTGTGTCAGGTATTTTGCAAGACAAGGGAGCTATAAGAATAGTCAAACATGATTCTTATCCTCGTATGGAAGAGATTGATCAAGCAAACCAATGATTGCAGAAATGTGAAGTATTATTTTAGAAAAACAACATGCAGGGATAGAGAGGAAAAGCACTTAGCACCTTCTTGACTGAGAGCAGGATATGTTTGGTTAGAGAATATTGTCAAATGAGCAGATGCTTGAGTTTATTCTGAATGTTAGGAAGGATGTGAGCTGAGGGTCCAAGATAATTATATAAAGTTTGGATTTATCACTGAAGAGGTGGCATTTAAGGTACAGGTATGGAAAGTGTAACAACCTATAAAATGCCAATAGTTAAGAAAAAAGGAGAGTAAGAGAAGCTTCAAAGGAAGAAGCCAGAAGAGTAAAAGAAAAACCAGAAGAGAGTTGTCAGAAAGAGAAGGTAAGCCGAGCATGGTCAACAACATCAAATGCTACAAAAGTCAAGTCAAATAAGCATTGAAAATGTTAATTTTGTTTTTCAACCTGGGGCTCACTGAAGAGCCAAGCAAAGGGAGTTTCTGGGGTGCTGGAGGTGAGGGCATATTGCAGTGAGTGGAGGATTGAGTGGAAGGGGAGAGTGAAGACAAGGAGGATAAAGAATTCTTACAAAGAGTATTAAATGAAGCAAAGAAGAGCATAGTGATGGAAATTGAGTGAAAAGCTAACTTTTTCTCTTTTTCATTTGTTTCTAAGATAGTAGTAGCTCGAGTAAATTGACAGAAAAATGGAAGACAATGGTAGAGAGGAAGGAGTTGAAGCTAGAGAAGGAAAAAGTTATACATATTTTTCTTACCAAAATGAAATGCTACTGTACCTACTGTTTTGTAATTTTTTTCAATCACCTTACATTTTAGTAAATTTTAAATTTTGTCTATATTTCAAAATGTCCCTGAAAATTTGTGGCAGAATTTTAAAGAAAATGTTTTTGTTTATCACATGTTTACACTCATTAAATAAAAATGGAACATAGAGAAAATGATAATTATCCACAGTATCACCACTCCAAAAGATTATCTTAGCAATTTTGTATATTCATTTTTTTTCTAGTTTTCACCTACATAAAGACTAGGCTTGCTGTGTGTGTATGTTTTATATAGTTCGAATTATGCTCTGTACACAATTTTGTATTTGGCTTTTTTTTTTTTTTTTTTTTGAGATGGAGTCTCGCTCTGTTGCCCAGGCTGGAGTGCAGTGGCGGGATCTCGGCTCACTGCAAGCTCCGCCTCCCGGGTTCACGCCATTCTCCTGCCTCAGCCTCCCAAGTAGCTGGGACTACAGGCGCCCGCCACTACGCCCGGCTAATTTTTTTGTATTTTTAGTAGAGACGGGGTTTCACCGTTTTTAGCCGGGATGGTCTCGATCTCCTGACCTCGTGATCCGCCCGCCTCGGCCTCCCAAAGTGCTGGGATTACAGGCGTGAGCCACCGCGCCCGGCCTGTATTTGGCTTTTAATAGTTAACATTATTTATAAATATTTTTCATGGTATTGCTTTTTTTTTTAGACAGTCTTCCTATGTTGGCCAGGCTGGTCTTGCACTCCTGGGGTCAAGTGATCCTCCCGCCTCAGCCTCCCAAATAGCTGGAATTACAGGCATGCACCACCATGGCCAGCCATATGTATATGTATATGTATATATGTCAACTTTTATTTTAGAATCAGGTCTTACATGTGCAAGTTTGTTACAAAGTTACGTTATATAATGCTGAGGTTTGAAGTACAAATGAATCTGTCACCCAGGTAGTGAGCACAGTACATAGTAGGTAGTTTTTCCAACCCTTAAAACCCTCTCTCTCCCCAACCTCTTGTATTCCCCAGTGCCCACTGTTCCCACTTTTATGTCCATGAGTACCCAATATTTACCTCCCACTTACAAGTGAGAACATGGGGTATTCAGTTTTCTGTTCCTGCATTCATTCATTTAGGATAATTTTAACTTCCAGCTGCATCCATGTTGCTGTGAAGGACAGGATTTCATTCTTTTTTATGGCTGGGTAGTATTCCATGGTGTATATGTCCTACATTTTCTTTTTCCAGTCCATCACTGACTGGCACTGGGTTGATTCCATGTCTTTGCTATGCTGAATAGCACTGCGATGAATATAAAGGTACTTGTATCTTTTTAGTAGAATGATTTATTTTCCTTGTGTATTAGTCCATTTTCATGCTGCTATAAAGACATACCCAAGACTGGGCAATTTACAAAAGAAAGAGGTTTAATGGACTCACAGTTCTGTGTGGCTAGGAAGGCCTCACAATCATGTCAGAAGACAACAGGCACATCTTACGTGGCAGCAGACAAGAGAAGGGTGAGAGCCAAGTGGACGGGGTTTCCCCTTATAAAACCATCAGATCTCCTGAGACTTATTCACTACCATGAGAACAGTATGGGGGAAACTGCCCCCATGATTCAATTATCTTCCACTGGTCCTTCCCACAACATGAAGGACTTATGCGAGCTATAATTTGAGATGAGATTTGGATGGGGACACAGCCAAACTATATCATCTTGGTTATATACCCAGCAGTGGGATTGCTGGGTTGAATGGTACTTCAACGTGCAGTTCTTTGAGAAATCTCCAGACTGCTCTCCACAGTGGCTGAACTAATTTACGTTCCCACCAACAATGTACGTGTTCCCTTTTCTCTGCAGTCTTGCCAACATCAGTTATTTTTCGACTTTCTAACAAAAGCCATTCTGACTGGTGTGAGATGGTATCTCATTGTGGTTTTGATTTGCATTTCTCTGATGATTCATGACGATTAACGTCTTTTCATATGCTTGTTGGCCACTTGTATGTTTTCTTTTGAGAAGTGTCTGTTCATGTCCTTTCCCCACTTTTTAATGGAGTCGTTTGTTTTTTGCTTATTGATTTGTTTAAGTTCCTTATAGATTCTGGATACTAGACCTTTGTTGGATGCATAGTTTGCAAATATCTTCTTCCATTCTGTAGGTGGTCTGTTTACTCCCTTGATAGTCTCTCTTACTGTGAAGAAGCTCTTCAGCTTAATTAGGTCCCATTTCTCAGTTTTTGTTTTATTGAAATTGCTTTTGAGGTCTTAGCCATAAATGCTTTGCCAGGGCTGATGTCAAGAAGGATAGTTCCTGAGTTTTCTTATAAAATTTTTATAGTTTGAGGGGTCACACTTAAGTTGTTAATCCATCCTGAGTTAATTTTTGTAGATGGTGATAGGTAGGGGTCTGATATGGTTTGGCTGTGTCCCCACCCAAATCTTATCTTGAATTCCCACATATTGTGGGAGGGACCTGGTAGGAGGTAATTGAATCATGGGGGCAGGTCTTTTCCATGCTGTTCTCATAATAGTGAATAAGTCTCATGAGATCTGCTGGTTTTATAAGGGGGAGTTTCCCTACACAAGCTTTCTTCTTTTGTGTGCTGCCATGTGAGATGTGCCTTTCACCTTCCACCATGATTTTGAGGCCTCCCCAGCCATGTGGGGAGTCCATTAAACCTCTTTTTCTTCCCAGTTTTGGGTATGTCTTTATCAGCAGTGTGAAAATGGACTAATACAGTAAATTGGTGCCAGTAGAGTGAGGCACTGCTGAAAAGACACCTGAAAATGTGGAAGCAACTTTGGAACTGGGTAACAGACAGAGACTGGAAGAGTTTGGAGGGCTCAGAAGAAGACAGGAACATGTGGGAAAGTTTGGAACTCCTAGAGACTTGTTGAATGGCTTTGACCAAAAGGCTGATAGTGATATGGACAATGAAATCCAGGCCGAGGTGGTCTCAGATGGAGATGAGAAACTTGTTGGGAACTGGAGTGAGGGTGACTCTTGTTATATTTTATCAAAGAGATTCGCAGTATTTTGTCCCTGCCCTAGAGATTTGTGGAACTTTGAACTTGAAAGAGATGATTTAGGGTATCTGGCAGAAGAAATTTCTAAGCAGCAAAGCATGGAAGAGGTGACTTGGGTGCTGTTAAAGGCATTTAGTTTTATAAGGAAAGCAGAGTATAAAAGTTTGGAAAATTTGCAGCCTGACAATGCGATAGAAAAGAAAATCCCATTTTCTGAGGAGAAATTCAAGCTGGCTGCAGAAATTTGCATAAGTAATGAGGAGATGAATGTTAATCCCCAAGACGATGGAAAAGATGTCTCCAGGGCATGTCAGAGGTCTTCATGGCAGCCCCTCCCATCACAGGCCTGGAGACCTAGGAGGAAAAAATGGTTTTGTGGGCTAGGCCCAGGGCCCCTCTGCTGTGTGCAGTCTAGGGACTTGGTGCCCTGCATCCCAGCTGCTCTAGCCGTGACTAAAAGGGGCAAAGGTGCAGCTCAGGCTGTGGCTTCAGAGGGTGCAAGCCACAAGCCTTGGCAGCTTCCATGTGGTTGAGCCTGTTAGTGCACAGAAGTCAACAATTGAGGTTGGGGAACCTCTGCCTAGGTTTCAGAGGATGTATTGAAATGCCTGGATGTTCAGGCAGAAGTTTGCTGCAGGGGTGGGGCACTCATGAAGAACCTCTGCTAAGGCAATGTGGAAAGGAAATGTGAGGTGGGAGCCCCCACACAGAGTCCCCACTGGGGCGCTGCCTAGTGGAGATGTGAGAAGAAGGCCACTGTCCTCCAAAACCCAGAATAGTAGATCCACCAACAGCTTGCACTGTGTGCCTGGAAAAGCCACAGACAATGAATACCAGCCTGTAAAAGCAGTCAGGAGGGAGGCTGTACCTTGCAAAGCCACAGAGACAGAGCTTCCCTAGTCTATGGGAACCCACATCTTGCATTAGCATGACCCGGATGCAAGACATGGAGTCAAAGGAGATTATTTTGGAACTTTAATATTTGACTGCCCCACTAGATTTTGGACTTCCATGGGGCCTGTAGCCCTTTTGTTTTGGCCAATTTCTCTCATTTGGAATGGCTGTATTCACCCAATGCCTGTACCCCTATTGTATCCAGGAAGTAACTAACTGGCTTTTGATTTTACAGGCTCATAGGCAGAAAGGACTTGCCTTGTCACAGATGAGACTTTGAACTGTGGACGTTTGAGTTAATGCTGAAATGAGTTAAGACTTTGGGGGACTGTTGGGAAGGCATGATTGGTTTTGAAATATGAGGACATGAGATTTGGGAGAGGCCAAGGGTGGAATGATGTGGTTTAGCTGTGTCCCCACTCAAATCTCATGTTGAATTTTTACATGCTGTGGGAGGGATCTGGTGAGAGGTAATTGAATCATGGAGGCAGGTCTTTCCCATGCTGTTCTCATTTTAGTGAACAGTCTCACTAGATCTGATGGTATTATAAAGAGGAGTTTCCCTGCACAAGCTTTCTTCTTTTGTCTGCCACCATGTGAGATGTGCCTTTCAACTTCTGCCATGATTGTGAGGCCTCCCCACCATGTGAAACTGTAAGTCCATTAAACCTCTTTTTCTTCCCAGTCTTGGGTATGTCTTTATCAGCAGTTTGAAAATGTACTAATACAGGGTCTAATTTCATTCTCTGCATATGGCTAGCCAGCTATCCCAGCACCATTTATTGAACAAGGAGTTCTTTCCCCTGGCTTATTTTTGTCACCTGTGTTCAAGATCATATAGCTGTAGGTATGTGGCTTTATTTCTGGGTTCCCTATTCTTTTCCATTGGTCTACGTGTCTGTTTTTGCACCAGTACCATGCTGTGTTGGTTACTGTAGCTTTGTTGTATAGTTTGAAGTTAGGTAATGTGATGCTTCTGGCTCTGTTTTTTTTTTGCTTAGGATTGTTTTGCCAGCCATTATTTTAAATGTTAGACTATCAGCAGGTTGCCATACTATAGCTTTTACTTTTCTCCCGGAGTTAGAAATTTAGGCTTCAAAATTTTCACTGTCCTAAATTCTGCAGTAAAAGTCCTTGTACTTAAAATTATTTCATTTTTAAATATTCTTTTTTTTGAGACAGAGTCTTGCTCTGTTGCCCAAGCTGGAGTGCAGTGGCACGATCATGGGTCACTGCAGCCTTGACCTCCTGGACTTAAGTGATCCTCTCACCTTAGCCTCCCAAGCAGATGGGACTACAGGTGCATGCACCACCATGCCTGGCTAATTTTTTATTTTTTGTAGAGATGGTGTCTTGCTATGTTGCCTAGGCTGGCCTCTAACTCCTCTCCTCAAGTGGCCTCCCAAAGTAAATATTCTTTATGTTTAGAATTATTACACTTGGGAAGATTCTGAGAAGTTCGATCAGTGGATCAGATAATGAACACTTAAGCCTTTTGATACATATTTTCAAGTTATTATCCAAAAGGATTGTATACATTTCTATTTTCATCTTTTATAATTAGATAATTCATCACCATATTAGGAAATCATCACTAACCTGAAAAGTGGAAAATATAAAAATATTTTAATATCTTGCATTAATATTTGCAACATTATTTAAGTTGAATATTTTGCCATGTTGTTTATTAATTAATTATATTGTCTCTTACATGAATTGTTTTCTTACCTATTAATTACTAGGGTCTTATTTAGCATTTCTTTTTGACTTGAATAAATTTTTTCTACAAAAAAGGAAGGAATATTTTGCCTGTTCTGTTCTCCAGTGTTTTACTTGCCTTTTAATTTTGCTGGATGCTTTGGTGTACATACTTGGAACTATTGATTTAATGACATTTGATTTCTACTATTGTTTTTAGGCTTGGAAATTCCCCTCCCCCTACCCCATCTGGAATAGTTTTCATTTCTATATTTTTTTCTGTTTTGTTGTTATTTCTCTAATCTCTAATGAATTAATATAATGTATACTTTAAGATCAAGTCTTAAGTAGAATTTTCCTGAATAGCTTACCAATTGGCCAATGACATCTTTATTGTATTATCAATTCAATTTTTTATTGTCTTTATCATGTGTTAAATTGTTATTCTAACTTCTGTGCTATTTGTTCTACTTATCTCTTGTTTATTATTGAACAGCAGCAAGTTGTGTTAATAAAGCTTTTAGAGATATTTTAATTTCTGATAGGTTTTGTTTTTCTCTCTTACACTTTAAAAAAACATTTAATCTACTGTTCTTGTTTACTTTTTCAGGTGGAATTTAATAATTTGTCAAGTTTCAAAAGCAAAACTCTTGCTGTCTTAGTATGAAATATGCCATTCCATACATAAATTTGGGAAATGAAGCAAATATAAGGGACTGAAAAGCTGATCTAAACTGGCTAAAGCTAAAGAGGGAACATTCTGTCTCCTTCCAGGGATAAAATTTAGTTTCAAATGCAGCTTGATTGGGGCTCACATAGTTTTTCTCTCCCATCTCTCAAGAATACGTCTTCATGCACGGCCGCTTTCTTGTCATATTTGGCCTTTGTGGCTTCAAGATAGCTGCCAGGATACATAACGCCAGGTCCTAATTCATGGAAGTGAATATCTCCCTTTCTTTTTTTTTTGAATATCTCCCTTTCTAATTGCTCCTGTAGAAGTCCAGACATTGATTCTCATGGTTCTGGCTGCCCTCAAACTGGTCATGAGCCCAATCCTGAAGTGGATGCTGTGTTCAGAGAGATAGGAAACATTGACTTATGCCAGTTAGGGTCACCCCTGTAGCTGGGGATGGACGTGGAATAGATACTGTGGTCCCCTTCAGGGCTGATTTACCCCTCTTTCAGCTGTTGGGAATGTTAGCTGCTTATGGTTTATTGCTGGGCTCTCTCTGAGAATTCCCTGCGGCTGTAGAGGATTCTAACCCAAAGTCACACCCCTCCCAGGAGGTAGCCTGAAGCCAACAACTGGCTGAAGTGGGGACACAAAATCTTGCTTCCTTGCCTCATTATTGAGTTAACTCTGAGGGCTCATGCCATTTTCATAGTTCCCCAGAGAATCAGCTAAGACTCAATTACAGCGACATTGCTACTGCCTCAGCGTGTTCCTCCATGATTCTGCCCTCCTTACATTCTGAATTGTGTATTTGCTGAGGTCACTCTCCAATAAGCCTTCTGTATGCAACTTGTCTCAGAATCTGTACCTAAGGAACTCAATGTAAGAGGATGATCAATCACACCTAAAATACTTGGCCAAGAATAGAGGAGGAGATATCTCAAAGGAAACTCTAGGTACTGTTGGTATAGTTAGAATGGGGAGAAATAAATTCAAGGGATGCCACCAACTAATGTTCACTACAAGAAGGATACACTTTACAACACACAATATTCTCATTTAGTACTATATTATGGCTTTTCAGTTGCTCAATTATCTTAATACAATTTCACAATATTAATAAATATTTTATTAAGGTGTTTTCTGTTTCTCTATGTAGTATATTCTGTAAATTATTATTAATTAATTAATTGATTTTTTTTGAGATGGAGTCTCACTCTGTTACCCAGGCTGCTGGAGTGCAGGGGTGCTATCTCTGCTCACTGCAATCTCTACCTGCAGGGTTCAAGCGATTCTCCTGCCTCAGCCTCCCGAATGGCTGGGATTACAGGCCCCTGCCACCATGCCCAGCTTTTTTTGTATTTTTAGTAGAGATGGAGTTCCACCATGTTGCCCAGGCTGGTCTCGAACTCCTGATCTCAAGTGATCCGCCCACCTAGGCCTCCCAAAGTGCTGGGATTCAGGTGTGAGCCACTTCCTCCAGCCTCCAAAACACTAATTTTTCCTAAAACTTTTAAGGGACACATCTATTTAACATAGCAGCCTATGCCTTTGTGACATTTTTTTTTCAGGGGGCGGGGGGACATTCTAAAGCTCCATTTATGGTTTTTCAAATGGTAATGTGAGTTAAGAATGAGACTAAAATTTCTCTTAGATGGGCTCATTTGATATAGCTGGATATTCTGAGTTGCCAAGAAACCAAAAAATGCCGTCAGGGGTTTGTTCACTCACCATGTACTAGATAGTTATTTTGATCCCCTCTTTTTAAAAAACATCCAGCTAAAAAGTGCAAGCTAGCAACACAGGAGCTGGTACTGTCAACTATGGTGAGAATAATTCCATGTATCCAGGAGGCTGTGTACTGTGTGTTATTCATTGAAAGTGCCTGGAAAAGGCTATTCCTCCCCCATGAACTTCCCAACGGGCCTCAGCTGTGTCACTAGGCACTGCAAAATTAATTCTGTTGAGGCAATGTTTGGGCCAGAGGAGTCAATTCCACCCACTGGTGCCCCATCCCCTCCTCTCTCATTCTGTTTAACAAATCATCAACCCGTAGTTGCTTGAAACAGTCACCAGGAACTCCCATTCCTAGAATGGCAGGGGAGTTTTAATGCCGACAAATGCCAGCGTATGCTAGTGAGCCTGGCTGAGTCGCATGGGAGACTTAAAAAGCACTTTGCCAGTTTCAGGGCTTCTTAAGTTTTTTTCAAGAGCAACAGAAGCCCCACCAAATTTTCACCTGTTCTTGTAGGTGATGGCAATGCATTTGGTAAAGTACAGGAGGTAAAATCATGAACAGTGCTCTGTGTGAGAGACTTTTCCTGCATTGGTCACCTAATCCTTGGAAAAGCCTTGTAACTAGGTATTCTTATTCTTATTTTCATTTTACATGGGAAGAAACTGAAGCTAAGCAAGGTTATATAAGTTATCCAAGGTTACACAGACAGGTAGTGGTGTCCCTGGGGAGTTGGGTGTATGTGGAAATTTCAAGTTGAACAGTGTTGCAGATTAACTCCGTGTTAAATTGTATATTTCTCAAAACCTGGCATTAATTCTTTTCTGTCAATTATTGTCAGATCTGGGCAGGAGGGATCTTACCAATTTACATCGCTAATTAGTAGGTATCTAAATGCCTAAAAGAATACCAAACTAATCCCCTCTTTCCTTTTCCACATGTAAAGAAACATACAACATGAGAACTTTAAATAACTGCTGAGGTAAGGCACATGTGGGCCTACTGACATATTTAATTTGGACTTCATATTCAGAGACAAGTAAACAACTTTATTTATTTATTTATTTATTTATATTTAGAGACAGGGTCTTGCTCCATCACTCAGGCTGGATTTCAGTGGCGCAATATTGGCTCACTGCAACCTCTGCTACCTGAGTTCAATCGATCCTCCCTTCTCAACCTCCCAAGTAGCTGGAGCTACAGGCATGTGGCACCACACCCAGATAATTTTTGTGTTTTTGTAGAGACATGGTTTCACCATGTTGCCCAGGCTGATCTAGAAATCCTGAGCTCAAGCAATCCACCTGCCTCAGACTCCCAAAGTGCTGGGATTACAGGCATAAGCCAGCCTGCCTGGCCAACTTTTTCTAATAGCAAATATGAGCTCTTCGAGCCTTACTGTGTTCCAACCATCTTGACCTAAATCAAAGTCCTTTCAAGTGATAGGAAGCAGCCGAAAACGTGCTATCAGGATAGCTGTGACCATCATGCCATCTGCCTAGCATTTTACAGCACATAGTCAATAATCATAATAGCAATAATGAAATGCTATTTATTGAGCACTTACCTTTTACAAGATTTTGGACTAAGGGCTTTATCAGCATTGTTTATTTAATCCTTGGAAAAACCTTATGAGTAGGTATTATTACTTTCATTTTTATTTTTATTTATTTATTTTTTATTTTATTTTATTATTATTATACTTTAAGTTTTAGGGTACATGTGCACAATGTGCAGGTTAGTTACATATGTATACATGTGCCATGCTGGTGTGCTGCACCCATTAACTGGTCATTTAGCATTAGGTATATCTCCCAATGCTATCCCTCCCCCTCCCCCCACCCCACAACAGTCCCCAGAGTGATGTTCCCCTTCCTGTGTCCATGTGTTCTCATTGTTCAATTCCCACCTATGAGTGAGAATATGCGGTGTTTGGTTTTCTTGTCCTTGTGATAGTTTACTGAGAATGATGATTTCCAATTTCATCCATGTCCCTACAAAGGACATGAACTCATCATTTTTTATGGCTGCATAGTATTCCATGGTGTATATGTGCCACATTTTCTTAATCCAGTCTATCATTGTTGGACATTTGGGTTGGTTCCAAGTCTTTGCTATTGTTAATAGTGCCGCAATAAACATACCTGTGCATGTGTCTTTATAGTACTTTGGGTATATACCCAGTAATGGGATGGCTGGGTCAAATGGTATTTCTAGTTCTAGAGCCCTGAGGAATTGCCACACTGACTTCCACAAGGGTTGAACTAGTTTACAGTCCCACCAACAGTGTAAAAGTGTTCCTATTTCTCCACATCCTCTCCAGCACCTGTTGTTTCCTGACTTTTTAATGATTGCCATTCTAACTGGTGTGAGATGGTATCTCATTGTGGTTTTGATTTGCATTTCTCTGATGGCCAGTGATGGTGAGCATTTTTTCATGTGTTTTTTGGCTGCATAAATGTCTTCTTTTGAGAAGCGTCTGTTCATGTCCTTTGCCCACTTTTTGATGGGGTTGTTTGTTTTTTCTTGTAAATTTGTTTGAGTTCATTGTAGACTCTGGATATTAGCCCTTTGTCAGATGAGTAGGTTGCGAAAATTTTCTCTCATTTTGTAGGTTGCCTGTTCACTCTGATGGTAGTTTCTTTTGCTGTGCAGAAGCTCTTTAATTTAATTAGATCCCATTTGTCCATTTTGTCTTTTGTTACCATTGCTTTTGGTGTTTTAGACATGAAGTCCTGGCCCATGCCTATGTCCTGAATGGTATTGCCTAGGTTTTCTTCTAGGGTTTTAATGGTTTTAGGTCTAACGTTTAAGTCTTTAATCCATCTTGAAATAATTTTTGTATAAGGTGTAAGGAAGGGATCCAGTTTCAGCTTTCTACATATGGCTAGCCAGTTTTCCCAGCACCATTTATTAAATAGGGAATCCTTTCCCCATTGCTTGTTTTTCTCAGGTTTGTCAAAGATCAGATAGTTGTAGATATGTGGCATTATTTCTGAGGGCTCTGTTCTGTTCCATTGGTCTATATCTCTGTTTTGGTACCAGTACCATGCTGTTTTGGTTACTGTAGCCTTGTAGTATAGTTTGAAGTCAGGTAGCATGATGCCTCCAGCTTCGTTCTTTTGGCTTAGGATTGACTTGGCGATGCGGGCTCTTTTTTGGTTCCATATGAACTTTAAAGTAGTTTTTTTCAATTCTGTGAAGAAAGTCATTGGTAGCTTTATGGGGATGGCATTGAATCTATAAATCACCTTGGGCAGTATGGCCATTTTCACGATATTGATTCTTCCTACCCATGAGCATGGAATGTTCTTCCATTTGTTTGTATCCTCTTTTATTTCATTGAGCAGTGGTTTGTAGTTCTCCTTGAAGAGGTCCTTCACGTCCCTTGTAAGTTGGATTCCTAGGTATTTTATTCTCTTTGAAGCAATTGTGAATGGGAGTTCACTCATGATTTGGCTCTCTGTTTGTCTGTTATTGGTGTATAAGAATGCTTGTGATTTTTGTACATTGATTTTTATTTTTATTTCATATGGGAAGAAAATGAAGCTAAGGAAGTTTAACTAGCTTATCCAGTGTCACACAGACAGGTACTAGCAGAAGGGGATTTACACCTTAGCCTGAATTACTTTGGAGCCTTAGCTGTAATCAGTATACTAAACAGAAGTATGAGTTCGAAGAGAAATATTGCAATAATAATCTTATGGTGCATGTGACTAAATTTCACGGGACTAGCCCTGATGTTTTCTTCTATAGTAAATCTTATACTGGATGGTCTAAGGCAAAGTGGAAGTCATTAGTTCCATTCGCAAATATCTCAGTTTTTCTATTAAGTATATAGTAGAATTTACCTTCTTTTACCTTTAGAATTGTTGGCCAAATGGCTTACTTTGGTTATAAATTATGAGTGAAAGTGACACTTGTCACATTAATAGTGAGCTATAAGACAATATCAGTGACCCTTGTCACTCTCAGGGAGAAGCTTTTAAAAACCAGTGCATGAATATTCTGCTTCTAACCGTGATGGAATAATAGGTACTACATTTACCCTCTGGCCATAAGCAAATAGAAAGCTGTATAAAATATATGAAGCAGTTGTTTTCAGCCTTTGGAAAATAGGCAGCATAGGACAAGAATCACTAAGAGGAGAGAAACCAATGAGAGGTACCCAATGACTGTCCTAGTTTACTACTTGAAAGGACACAGCAGAGAGGGGAGGAGCATGAACAGAGCCTGGTGGTCTAGCTAAAATGAAGAGACAGAATTTGGAGTTTGGGGAAGCCTCTGCAGCTAGAATATGTGAGGCAGAAGGGGGAGCTGCTCAAGGAGAGAGGTCAGAAGATCTGCAGGGGGGTTCTCATGAGGTTTTAGCTGAGTACTAATTTGCACATGCACTTGTGGAAACTACCAAAGCAGGAGAAGATATCACGAGAAACGAGTGGGCAGAAAAACCCCCAGAGCTTACACAGAGTTAGGAATAGTTTGTGTCCAAAAGAAAAAAAAAATCCTAAAAATAGAATGTTGAGTAAAGTCCCACAAAAGTGGGAGAAAATTAACTCTAGACTAAAAGCTGTTTTGGATTTGACCTAATAAAGCTTATAAGCAAGCCTCAAGCATATTAAACAGATTTCAAGGAACTTCACTGCATCCACAAACTTAGTCCCCAAATATTTAAAATAATACAAAAAAAGTCCAACACCAAACAACATAAAATACTCAATATTTGGCATCTATTAAAAAATGACCAGGAATTAAAAGAAGCAGAAAAATGTTACTCACAAAGAAGAGAAAAATCTATCAAAAGGAACAAATGTAGGAATGACATTTGAAATAAAATTGGTAGACAGGGCATTAAGACAACTGTTATAACAATTCAAGATGGTAGAAGAAAGGATGAACATGAGGAGAAAAAAATAAAATGTATTAAAAATTCAAAATAAAAGTTAAAGTGGTAAAACATACAGTATCTGGAAAAAATGCCTAGGGAAGATAGAGAGCAGATGATATGGCATAGAAGAAAACAATTAATAAACTTGAAGACACTTTCGAAACGAATACACAGAAAAGCAGCAGTAATAGTGAGTGATAAGACAATATCAGGAAACCAAGCATGTATGATTTGCAGTCCACATAAAAGATGGAGAGAAAGAAAAAATATTATAGCACTAATGACCATAAATTTGATGAAATCTATGAAACCAACCATCCCAGTAGTTCAACAAATCTGAAGCAAAAAAACATATATATATATAAAAGTATGCTGTGGTATACAAAATGATCAAATTTCTAAAAATCAGTGATAAAAGATAATAAGGTTTTTAAGTAGTGAGAGAAAAAAATAGTTGGAGAAACAAAAGTGAGAAAGACAACAGACTTCTCTTCAGAAATAATGCGTCCAAACATCTTTAATATGGAATGACATATTTTAAAAAACTCCACCTAAAATTCTATACCCAGCAAAAATATCCTTTAGAAATGAAATTCAAATAAGGACTTATATAAACATTTAAAAGCCAAGATAATTCATTGGCAGCAGATAACTCCTTCCTCGAAAGAAAGCCTTTCAAGGCAGAATGAAAATGATACAAGATGGACATATGAATCTATAAAAAGAAATGAAGAGTGCCAGAAATGATAAACACTTGGGAAAATATAAAATACTTTTATTTAAAAAATATTTTTAGGTGGTTCCAAGATGGCCAAATAGGAACAGCTCCAGTGTGCAGCTCCCAGCATGAGCAACGCAGAAGACAGTTGATTTCTGCATTTCCAACTGAGGTACCGGGTTCATCTCACTGGAGCTTGTCAGACAGTGGGTGCAGCCCACCAAGCATGAGCCGAAGCAGGGCGAGGCATCGCCTCGCCCAGGAAGTGCAAGAGGCCACGGAATTCCTTTTCCTAGCCAAGGGAAGCTGTGACAGATGGCACCTGGAAAGTCAGGTCACTCCCACCCTAATACTGCGCTTTTCTGATGGTCTTAGCAAACGGCGCACCAGGAGATTATATCCCGCACATGGCTTGCAAGGTCCCATGCCCACGGAGCCTCGCTCGTTGCTAGCACAGCAGTCTGAGATTGAACTGCAAGGTGACAGTGAGGCTGGGGGAGGGGTGCCCACCATTGCTGAGGCTTGAGTAGGTAAACAAAGTAGCAGGAAGCTCGAACTGGGTGGAACCCAACTGCAGCGAAAGGAGGCCGGCCTGCCTCTGTACACTCCACCTCTGGGGGCAGGGCATAGCTGAACAAAAGGCAGCAGAAACCACTGCAGACTTAAATGTCCCTGTCTGACAGCTTTGATGTGAGTAGTGGTTCTCTTACCACGGAGTTTGAGATCTGAGAATGGACAGACTGCCTCCTCAAGTGGGCCACTGACCACTGAGTAGCCTAACTGGGAGGCACCCCCAAGTAGGGGCAGACTGACACCTCACATGGCCGGGTACCCCTCTGAGACGAAGCTTCCAGAGGAACAATCAGGCAGCAACATTTGCTGTTCAGCGATATTCGCTGTTCTGCAGCCTCTGCTGCTAATACCCAGGCAAACAGGTCTGGAGTAGACCTCTAGCAAACTCCAACAGACCTGCAGCTGAGGGTCCTGACTATTAAAAGGAAAACTAACAAACAGAAAGGACATCCACACGAAAACCCTATCTGTACGTCACCATCTTCAAAGACCAAAGGTAGATAAAACCACAAATATGGGGAAAAAACAGAGCAGAAAAGCTGAAAATTCTAAAAATCAGAGCACCTCTCCCCCTCCAAAGGAACACAGATCCTCACCAGCAACGGAACAAAGCTGGACGGAGAATGACTTTGACGAGTTGAGAGAGGCTTCAGACCTCAAACTTCTCCGAGCTAAAGGAGGAAGTTCGAACCCATCGCAAAGAAGCTAAAAACCTTGAAAAAAGATTAGATGAATGGCTAACTAGAATGACCAGTGTAGAGAAGTCCTTAAATGACCTGATGGAGCTGAAAAACATGGAACGAGAACTACGTGACGAATGCACAAGCTTCAGTAGCTGATTCGATCAACTGGAAGAAAGGGTATCAGTGATTGAAGATCAAATGAATGAAATGAAGCGAGAAGAGAAGTTTAGAGAAAAAAGAGTAGAAAGAAATGAACCAAGCCTCCAAGAAATATGGGACTATGTGAAAAGACCAAATCTATGTCTGATTGGTGTACCTGAAAGTGACAGGGAGAATGGAACCAAGTTGGAAAACACTCTGCAGGATATTATCCAGGAAAACTTCCCCAATCTAGCAAGGCAGGCCAACATTCAAATTCAGGAAATACAGAGAACACCACAAAGATATCCCCAAGAAGAGCAACTCCAAGACACATAATTGTCAGATTCACCAAAGTTGAAATGAAGGAAAAAATGTTAAGGGCGGCCAAAGAGAAAGGTTGGGTTACCCACAAAGGGAAGCCCATCAGACTAACAGCGGATCTCTCGGCAGAAACTCAACAAGCCAGAAGAGAGTGGGGGCCAATATTCAACATTCTTAAAGAAAAAAATTTTCAACCCAGAATTTCATATCCAGCCAAACTAAGCTTCATAAGTGAAGGAGAAATAAAATCCTTCACAGACAAGCAAATTCTGAGAGATTTTGTCACCACCAGGCCTGCCCTAAAAGAGCTCCTGAAGGAAGCACTAAACATGGAAAGGAACAACCGGTACCAGCCACTGCAAAAACATGCCAAATTGTAAAGACCGTTGATGCTAGGAAGAAACTGCATCAACTAATGAGCAAAATAACCAGCTAACATCATAATGACAGGATCAAATTCACACATAACAATATTAACCTTAAATGTAAATGGGCTAAATGCTCCAGTTAAAAGACACAGACTGGCAAATTGGGTGAAGAGTCAAGACTTATCAGTGTGCTGTATTCAGGAAACCCATCTCATGTGCAGAGACACACATAGGCTCAAAATAAAGGGATGGAGGAAGATCTACCAAGCAAATGGAAAACAAAAAAAGGCAAGAGTTGCAATCCGAGTCTGTGATAAAACAGACTTTAAACCAACAAAGATCAAAGGAGACAAAGAAGGCCATTACATAATGGTAAAGAGATCAATTCAATAAGAAGAGCTAACTATCCTAAATATATATGCACCTAATACAGGAGCACCCAGATTCATAAAGCAAGTCCTTAGAGACCTACAAAGAGACTTAGACTTCCACACAATAATAATGGGAGACTGTAACACCCCACTGTCAACGTTAGACAGCTCAATGAGACAGAAAGTTAAAAAGGATATCCAGGAATTGAACTCAGCTCTGCACAAAGCAGACCCTCTACACAACTCTCCACCCCAAATCAACAGACTATACATTCTTCTCAGCACATCACATAGCACTTATTCCAAAATTGACCACAGAGTTGGAAGTAAAGCACTCCTCAGCAAATGTAAAAGAACAGAAATTATAACAAACTATCTCTCAGATCACAGTGCAATCGTACTAGTACTCAGGATTAAGAAACTCTCTCAAAACTGCTCAACTACATGGAAACTGAACACCCTGCTCCTGAATGACTACTGGGTAAATAACAAAATGAAGGCAGAAATAAAGATGTTCTTTGAAACCAACGAGAACAAAGACACAACATACCAGAATCTCTGGGACACATTTAAAGCAGTGTGTAGAGGGAAATTTATAGTACTAAATGCCCACAAGAGAAAGCAGGAAAGATCTAAAATTGATACCCTAACATCACAATTAAACGAATTAGAGAAGCAAGAGCAAACACATTCAAAAGCTAGCAGAAGGCAAGAAATAACTAAGATCAGAGCAGAACTGAAGGAAATAGAGACACAAAAAACCCTTCAAAAATCAATGGATCCAGGAGCTGGTTTTTTGAAAGGATCAACAAAATTGATAGACTGCTAGCAAGACTAATAAAGAAGAAAAGAGAGAAGAATCAAATAGATGCAATAAAAAATGATAAAGGGGATATGACCACCGATCCCACAGAAATACAAACTACCATCAGAGAATACTATAAACATCTCTACACAAATAAACTAGAAAATCTAGAAGAAACGGATAAATTCCTGGACACATACACCCTCCCAAGATTAAACCAGGAATCAGTTGAATCCTTGAATAGACCAATAACAGGCTCTGAAATTGAGGCAATAATTAATGGCTTACCAACCAAAAAAAGTCCAGGACCAGATGGATTCACAGCCAAATTCTACCAAAGAGGAGCTGGTACCATTCCTTCTGAAACAATTCCAATGAATAGAAAAAGAGGGAATCCTCCCTAATTCATTTTATGAGGCCAGCATCATCCTGATACCAAAGCCTGGCAGAGACACAACAGAAAAAGAGAATTTTAGACCAATATCCCTGATGAACATCGTTGCAAAAATCTTCAATAAAATACTGGCAAACCGAATCCAGCAGCGCATCAAAAAGCTTATCCACCATGATCAAGTGGGCTTCATCCCTGGGATGCAAGGCTGGTTCAACATATGCAAAGCAGTAAACGTAATCCAGCATATAAACAGAACCAAAGACAAAAACCACATGAATATCTCAATAGATGCAGAAAAGGCCTTTGACAAAATTCAACAGCTCTTCATGTTAAAAACTCTCAATTAATTAGGTATTGATGGGATGTATCTCAAAATAAGAGCTATTTATGACAAACCCACAGCCAATATCATACTGAATGGGAAAAAACTGGAAGCATTTCCTTTGAAAACTGGCACAAGACAGGGATGCCCTCTCTCACCACTCCTATTCAACATAGTGTTGGAAGTTCTGGCCAGGTCAATCAGGCAGGAGAAAGAAATAAAGGGTATTCAATTAGGAAAAGAGGAAGTCAAATTGTCCCTGTTTGCAGATGACATGATTGTATATTTAGAAAACCCCATCAACTCAGCCCAAAATCTCCTTACGCTGATAAGCAACTTCAGCAAAGTCTCAGGATACAAAATCAATGTGCAAAAATCATAAGCATTCTTATACACCAATAACAGACAAACAGACAGCCAAATCATGAGTGAACTCCCATTCACAATTGCTTCAAAGAGCATAAAATACCTAGGAATCCGACTTACAATGGACGTGAAGGACCTCTTCAAGGAGAACTACAAACCACTGCTCAATGAAATAAAAGAGGATACAAACAAATGGAAGAATATTCCATGCTCATGGGTAGGAAGAATCAATATCGTGAAAATGGCCATACTGCCCAAGGTGATTTATAGATTCAATGCCATCCCCATAAAGCTACCAATGCCTTTCTTCACAGAATTGGAAAAAACTACTTTAAACTTCATATGGAACCAAAAAAGAGCCCACATTGCCAAATCAATCCTAAGCCAAAAGAACAAAGCTGGAGGCATCACGCTACCTGACTTCAAAATATACTACAAGGCTACAGTAACCAAAACAGCATGGTACTGGTACCAAAACAGAGATATAGACTAATGGAACAGAACAGAGCCCTCAGAAATAATACCACACAACTATACCATCTGGTCTTTGACAAACCTGAGAAAAACAAGCAATGGGAAAGGATTCCCTATTGAATAAATGGTGCTGGGAAAACTGGCTAGCCATATGTAGAAAGCTGAAACTAGATCCCTTCCTTACCCCTTATACAAAATTAATTCAAGATGGATCAAAGACTTAAATGTTAGACCTAAAGCCTTAAAAACCCTAGAAGAAAACCTAGGCAATACCATTCAGGACATAGGCATGGGCAAGGACTTCATGTCTAAAACACCAAAAGCAATGGCAACAAAAGCCAAAATTGACAAGTGGGATCTAATTAAATTAAAGAGCTTCTGCACAGCAAAAGAAAGTACCATCAGAGTGAACAGGCAACCTACAGAATGGGAGCAAATTTTTGTAATCCACTCATTTGCCAAGAGGCTAATATCCAGAATCTACACAGAACTCAAACAAATTTACAGGAAAAAAACAAACAACCCCATCAAAAAGTGGGCAAAGGATATGAAAAGACACTTCTCAAAAGAAGACATTTATGCAGCCAACAGACACATGAAAAAATGCTCATCATCACTGGCCATCAGAGAAATGCAAAACAAAACCACAATGAGATACCATCTCACACCAGTAAGAATGGCGATCACTAAAAAAGTCAGGAAACAACAGGTGCTGGAGAGGATGTGGAGAAATAGGAACACTTTTACACTGTTGGTGGGACTGTAAACTAGTTCAACCATTGTGGAAGTCAGTGTGGCGATTCCTCAGGGATCTAGAACTAGAAATACCATTTGACCCAGCCATCCCATTACTGGGTATATACCCAAAGGATTATAAAACATGCTGCTATAAAGACACATGCACACGTATGTTTACTGCGGCACTATTCACAATAGCAAAGACTTGGAACCAACCCAAATGTCCATCAGTGATAGACTGGATTAAGAAAATGTGGCACATATACACCATGGAATACTATGCAGCCATAAAAAATGATGAGTTCATGTCCTTTGTAGGGACATGGATGAAGCTGGAAACCATCATTCTCAGCAAACTATCGCAAGGACAAAAAACCAAACACTGCATGTTCTCACTCATAGGTGGGAATTGAACAATGAGAACACTTGGACACAGGAAGGGGAACATCACACACCGGGGCCTGTCCTGGGGTGGGAGGAGGTGGGAGGGATTGTGTTAGGAGATATACCTAATGTAAATGACGAGTTAATGGGTGCAGCACACCAACATGGCACATGTACACATATGTAACAAACCTGCACGTTGTGCACATGTATCCTAGAACTTAAAGTATAATAAAAAGATTTTTAAAGGATATTGACTATTTAAGGCAAAATAATAAGAATACATTATGAATTTATACATGGAAGTAACATATATGACAATGACAGCATAAAGGTCAGGTGTAGGAGGAAGAAAACAAAGTATATTCTTTTAAAGTTTTTATACAATAGGTGAAATAGTATATTACTTGAAGGTAGGCCATGTATAATATCAACCTTAAAGCAATTGCTTGAAAAAACAAAGAATAGCTAACAGAGCAACAAAGAAGATAAAGTAGAATTAATAAAAACATGATTAATAGAAAAGATGCTAAGGAACGAAGTAAAGAAACAAAGAACTCATGCAACAACAACGACAAAAACAACACCCCACATAAAACAGTGGTAGATTTAAATACAACTTTATTGACAATTCCAGTAAATGTAAATGGTCTAAATAGCTCAGTTAAAAGGCAGAAATTGTCACATTAGATAAAAAAGCAAAATCCAACTGCATGCTGCCTACTTTGAATATAAAGATAAAAGTAACAAAAGTAAAAAGTTAGAAAAAGATGTGGTCTGTGGATACAATCAAAATAAATTTGAAGTGGCTATATTAACATAGTTATACATTGTTTTAAGATGTAGATTTTATTATTGTCCTGGTGTGTTGAGTCTAACAAATTAGGAGATGATTGCCATTGAAATGATACTTTGCTATTCATAGTTCCCAAGAGGAAGGGCATGCCAAACAACAAGGGCATGTGAAGGAGCACCGGGTTGGTCAGGAGACAGAAGGAGTGAGGGGGACGCATGGGCAAGTGCCTTTTAGTGGTTCTTACTGGAGAGGCAAAGCAAGGCAGTATAAGCAGGCTTAGGATTTTGGCTGGTTTGAATAATTTCAATGGGCTCTAGGATAAAAGGGGGGCTGTCTCTTGTTGTCTGGTACCTGACACTGGGGTGATTAGGTGAGGGGAATAGTGACTGTGCATGTGAAGACCACAAAAGGAGATGGGTGAGGTTAGGGGATCTGGATTTGTTGGTTTGTATTTGAATTGTTCACATAATTCCTCTAGGAATTGGCTATCCCTGGGAGGGGCAGTCTTTCCAGTGTCAGCAAGGCCCACATGTCAGAGCATCAGAAATACAGAAAATTGGCCAGGTGCAGTCGCTTATGCCTGTAATCCTACCACTTTGAGAGGCCAAGTTGGGCAGATTGCCTGAGCTCAGGAGTTTGAAATCACCCTGGGCAACAAGGTAAAACCTCGTCTTTACGAAAATACAAAAAATTAGCCAGGCAAGGTGGCGGGTGCCTATAGTCCCATCTATTCAGGAGGCTGAGGCATGAGAATCGCTTAATCCTGAGACGTGGGGGTTGCAGTGAGCTGAGAACTCACCACTGCACTCCATCCTGGGCAACAGGGCAAGACTCTGTCTCCAAAAAAAAGAAAAAAAGAAAAAGAATGATCAATACATATTAATAAGTATATTTCAGAGCAAAGAATATTAAAGAGAGATGAGGGCCATTTCATATTGATAAATGGGTCAATTCATCAAGGGGATATAACGTTCTAAATATATACTCTTAAGAGAGTTTCAAAGCAATAACTGATAGGAGTAGACATAGCCACAATGGAGATTTCAATACCCCTATTTTAATATTTAATAGAAAAAGATTGGAAGTCACTAAGGATATAGAATACTTGGAAATCACTACCAATTAAATTTAGTTAACATTTCTAGAACACTCCAACCAACAACAGCAGAATACATATTCTTTTCCAGTACTCAAGACACATTTACCAAAATAGATCATATTTTGGTTCCTAAAACAAGTCTCAATAAATTAAAAAATTGAAATAATTTAATGTATATTCTTCTACCACAACAAAATTTTATTAGAAATCAGTCACAGAAAGATATTTGGAAAATCCCTAACTATTTGAGAATTAACAACAGACATAAAAAGTCAATGGTCCAAGAGGAAAATGGGTTGAGCTGAATTATAGCATATCAAAATGTGTGATATATGGCTAAAAGTTGATTAGAAGAAAATTCATAGCATTACAAACTACCTAAAAGAAGAAAAACATTTAAAATCAATGACCTAATCATTTTATGATTATACCCCAACTAAGCAGAAAGAAGGAAAAAAATGAGCATCATCACTTTATGATTATACCCCAACTAAGCAGAAAGAAGTAATGAGAGACAAAATCAATGAAATAGAAAACAGAAAATAAAACAGAAAATAATTAACATAACAAAAGAGCAAAAAATTTTTATTTTGAGACAATTAATTCCTAAACTTTGCATCACACTGATGAGCAAAACTGAGAAGACAGAAATTGCCAATATCAAGAATGTGAGACTGGACATTCCTAAAATCCTATAGACATAAAAAAGTAGGGGACAGTTATGAGCAACTTCATACCAATAAATTTGACAAATTAGACAAAATTTACAATAAGTTAACTAAAAAAGATATGGATAATCGAAGTAGTCATATATCTCTTAAAGATACTAAATGTGTATTTAAAAACCTTCCCACACAAATATACAAAACAATAAACAAACAAACAGCACAACAACAAAAAAGCTTCAGGCAGTTGGTTTTACTCATGAGTTCTTCCAAACATTTAAGAAAACAAAATAATACTAAATCTACACAAACATACCCAAAAAAGAAAAGAGAATAAAATTTATCTCAACTCATTTTGTAAGGCTAGGATTATTTCTTTTTTTTACAAATTTATTGTTGTTGTTGTTTGTTGATTTTTTTGAGACAGAGTCTCACTCTGTTGCTCAGGCTGGAGTACAGTGGCACGATCTCGGCTCACTGCAACCTTTGCCTCCCGGGTTCAAAAGATTCTCCTGCCTCAGCCTCCTGAGTAGCTGGGATTACAGGCGCCCGCCACCACACCTAGCTAATTTTTGTATTTTTAGTAGAGACAGGGTTTCACCATATTGGCCAGGCTGGTCTTGAACTCCTGACCTCAGGTGATCCACCCTCCTTGGCCTCCCAAAGTGCTGGGATTACAGGCATGAGCCACCGTGCCTGGCAAATTTTTTTACTTTAATAGATTTTGAGATACAAGTGGATTTTTGTTACATGGATAAATTACACAGTGGTAAATTCTGAGATTTTAGAGCACATTACTCGAGTAGTGTACATTGTACCTAGTGTGTAGTTTTTTATCCCTAGCCCCCTGCCTTCTGCCTTCTGAGTCTCTGAAGTCTATTATATCACTCTCTATGCTTTTGCATACTCATAGCTTAGCTCCCACTTATAAGTGAGAAATATTGTTTTTGGTTTTTCACTCCTGTGTTACTTCACTTAGGTTAATGGCCTCCAGCGCCATCTAAGTTGCTGCAAGAGACATTATTCCATTTCTTTTAATGGCTGAGTAGTATTTCATGGTGTATATATATACTACATTTTATTTATTCACTCCTTAGTTGATGGGCGTTTAGGGTGGTTCCACATCTTTGCAATTGTGAATTGTGTTGCTATAAACATATGTGTGCAAGTATCTTTTTCATATAATTACTTCTTTTCCTTTGGCTAGATACCCAGTAGTGGGATTTCTGTCAAATGGTAGTTCAACTTTTAGTTCTTTAGGGAATCTCCGTAGTGTTCTCTATAGAGGTTGCACTAATTTACATTCTTACCAGAACTGTATAAACTTTCCCTTTTTCCCATATCCATACCAACATCTATTGCTTTTTTTGCTTTTCAGTAATGGCCATTCTTGCAGGAGTAAGGTGGTATCTCATTGTTATTTTAATTTGAATTTCTCTGATGATTAGTGATACTAAGCATTTTTTTCATATGTTTGTTGGCCATTTGTATATTTTCTTTTGAGAAATGCCTAATCATGTCCTTTGCCCACTTTTTAATGGGATTATTTGTTTTTTCTTGCAGATTTGTTTGAGTTTCTTATGGATTCTGGATATAAGTCCTTTGTTATATGCATAGTTTACAAGTATTTTCTCCCATTCTGTGGGTTGTCTGTTTACTCTGCCGATTATTTCTTTTGCTGTAGAGAAGCTTTTTAGTTTCATTAGGTCCCATTTATTTATTTTTATTTTTGTCACATTTGCTTTTGGGGTCTTAGTCGTGAAGTCTTTCCCTAGGCTGATGTCTAGAAGAATTTTTTCAATGTTGTCTTCTAGAATTTTTATAGCTTCAAGTCTTATATTTAAGTCTTTGATCCATCTTGAGTTGATTTTTAGATAAGGCAAGAGGTAGGATCCAGTTTCATTTTTCTTCATGTGGCTTGCCAGTTTTCCCAGTAACATTTGCTAAATAGGATGTCCATTCCCCAATTTATGTTTTTGTATGCTTTGTTGAAGATTAGTTGGCTGTACATATTTGACTTTATTTCTGGGTTCTCTATTCCATTCCATTGGTCTATGTGCCTACTCTCATATCAGTATCATACTGTTTTGGTAACTACAGAGGCTAGGATTATTCTGATAACAAAAGAAGACAAAGGCATTACAATAAAAGAAATAGTTATTAAAGAGTTATTTTTTAATATATTGCATTTATCAAACAGATAATTAAATAAAAGGACAAATACTTCCGTTAAATATTGACTGAAAACAGCTTACCAAGATTTTGGTAAATTGAATCCAATAATACATATATAAAATCTTCAGGACAAAATAAGTTTTATTCCAAGAGTGCAAAGTTGGTTCAATATTTAAATATTAACTAATATAATTAATCATATTAACAAACTAAAAAAGAAAATTTACTTGATCACAATGGGCATTAAATAATAATTTGATAAAAGTCAACATTAATTCATTATAAATGTTCCCAGCAAACAAGGAGTAGAAGAAAATTATTTTGGCAATCAGATAAAGGGTATCTACAAAAATACTACAGTTATTATATTTATTGGTGAAAGACTGTATGATTTCCCTCTAATATTTGGAATAAAGCGGGGATGTTTTCTCTCATCACTTCTATTCAATGTTGTATTGGAGTTCCTAGCCAGTGCTATACGGCAAGAAATATTAGGATGGTGCAAAAATAATTGCAGGTTTTGCCATTAAGAGTAATTAAAAGTAATGGCAATAACTGCATTTACTTTTGCACCAACCTAATGTAAATAAAGGGCTAAAGACAGGAAAAAAGAAGTGAAACTAATTCACTGAAAACATGATTATCTCTATGTAAAATTTTAAGGAATCTACAAAAAGCTACTAGAACTAATAATTTAATTTAGTAAAAGCAAAGGATACACGTTCATTATACAAAAGTCAGCCATTCAAATGATAAGAGCTTGTGTCTGTTTTTCTACAATTTCAGCTCTTTCTCTACAGGAGATAAGACTCTCACTCAGGGCAATCTTAGTAGATTTGAGTCTCAGTATCTGCTTCTGAAGCCAGGAGACAGAATCCCTGAGTTCATCATTTTTTTCATCACTTTGTCCACTGAACTTAGGAGCAGCCAACCAGCTTCACTATGTTCCTTGGTTCTCCACATATGGTCAAAGGTACTATGTATAACGTCATCCAAAACGTCACTGTGGTCCTCCAGTTAAAGTAGGGGCTTATGGAGGTCAGGTAATTAATAGAATTCTAGTTCAGGTCCAACTTACTGTGGGTCCAGTGGATGCCTGGACTCATCCTGTGGTCATAACCCCACTGCCAGAATGCAAAATTGGCATAGACATTCTTAACAGCCGGCAGAATCCCCACACTGGCTCCCTGACTGGTAGGGTGAGGGCTATTATGGTGGAAAAGGCCAAATGGAGGCCACTAAAGCTGCCTCTACCTAGAAAAATAGTAAATCAAAAACAATATTGCATCCCTGGAGGGATTGTGGAAATTAGCGCCACTATCAAGGACTTGAAAGACGCAGGGGTGGTGATTCCCACCACATTCCGGTTCAACTCTCCCATTTGGCCTGTGCAGAAGACAGATGGATCTTGGAGAATGACAGTGGATTATCATAAGCTTAACCAAGAGGCAACTCCAATTGCAGCTGCTGTACCAGATGTGGTTTCATTGCTTGAGCAAATTAACACATCTCCTGGTACCTGGTATGCAGCCACTGACTTGGCAAATGTCTTTTTCTCCATTCCTGTCCATAAGACCCACCAGAAGCAATTTGCCTTCAGCTGGCAAAGCCAGCAATATACCTTTACTATCCTACCTCAGGGGTATATCAACTCTCCTGCTTTCTATCATAATTTTATTCAGAGAGACCTTGATCACTTTTTGCTTCCACAAGATATCACTCTAGTTCTTTACATTGATGACATTATGCTGATTGGATCCAGTGAGCAAGAAGTAGCAAATACACTGGACTTATTGGTGAGACATTGCAGTCAGAAGATGGGAAATAAATCCAACTAAAATTCAGGAAACTTCTACCTCAATAAAAGGGGGTCCAGTGTTGTGGGGTCCATTGGTGTGGGCCTGTCAAAATATTCTTTCTAAGGTGAAGGATAAGTTGCTGCATTTGGCCCTCATACAACCAAGAAAGAGGCACAATGCCTAGTGGGCCTATTTGGATTTTTGAGGCAACACATTTTTCATTTGGATGTGTTACTCCAACCCATTTATTGAGCAACCCAAAAGGCTGCCAGTTTTGAGTGGGGTCCAGAACAAGAGAAGGCTCTGCAACAGGTCCAGGCTGCTGTGCAAGCTGCTCTGCCACTTGGGCCATACAACCCAGCATATCCAATGGCGGTTGAGGTGGCAGTGGCAGATAGGGATGCTGTTTGGAGCCTTTGGTAGGACCCCATAGGTGAATCACAGTGGAGGCCTCTAGGATTTTGGAGCAAGGCCCTGCCATCTTCTGCAGATAACTACTCTCCTTTTGAGAGACAGCTTTTGGCCTGTTACTGGGCTTTGGTGAAAACCGAACGTTTGACTATGGGTCATCAAGTCACCATGCAACCTGAACTGCCTATCATGAACTGGATGCTTTCTGATCCACCTAGCCATAAAGTGGGTTGTTCACAGCAGCATTCCATCATCAAATGGAAGTAGCATATACATGATCGGGCTTGAGCAGGTCCTGAAGGCACAAGTAAGTTACATGAAGAAGTGGCTCAAATGCCTGTGGTCTCCGCTCCTGCCTTCTCTTCCCCACCCTGCACCAATGGCCTCATGGTGAGTTCCCTATGATCAGCTGACAGAGGAAGAGAAGACTAGGGCCTGCTTCACAGATGGTTCTGCACGATATGCAGGCAACACCGGAAAGAGGACAGCTGCAGCATTACAGCCTCATTCTAGGACATCCCTGAAGGACAGCAGTGAAGGGAAATCGTCCCAGTGGGTTGAACTTCGAGCAGTGCACCTGGTTGTGCACTTTGCATGGAAGGAGAAATGGCTAGATGTGCAATAATATACTGATTCATGGGCTGTAGCCAATGGTTTGGCTGGATGGTCAGGGACTTGGAAGAAGCATGATTAAAAAATTGATGACAAAGAAATTTGGGGAAGAGGTACATGGATGGACCTTTCTGAGTAGTCAAAAACTGTGAAGATATTTTTATCCCATGTGAATGCTTGCCAACAGGTGACCTCAGCAGAGGAGGATTTTAATAATCAAGTGGATAGGATGACCCGTTCTGTGGACACCACTCAGCCTCTTTCCCCAGCCACCCCTGTCATTGCCCAATGGGCCCATGAAAGAAGTGGCCATGGTGGCAGGGATGGAGGTTATGCATGGGCTCAGCAACATGGGCTTCCACTCACCAAGGCTGACTTGGCTACAGCCACTGTTGAGTGCCCAATTTGCCAGCAGCAGAGACCAACATTGAGCCTCGATATGGCACCATTCCTCAGGGTGATCAGCCATCTATCTGGTGGCAGGTTGATTATATTAGACCTCTCCCATCATGGAAATGGCAGAGGTTTGTCCTCACTGGGATAGACGCTTACCCTGGATATGGGTTTTCCTATCCTGAACACAATGTTTCTGCCAAGACTACCATCCATGGACTCACAGAATGCCTTATCCACCATCATGGTATTCCATACAGCATTGCCTCTGACCAAGGCACTCACTTTATGGCTAAAGCAGTGTGGCAGTGGGCTCATGCTCATGGAATTCACTGGTCTTATCACGTTCCCCATCACCCTGAAACAGCCGGATTGATAGAACAGTGGAATGGCCTTTTGAAGTCACAGTTACAATGCCAACTAGGTGACAGTACTTTACAGGGCTGGGGTAAAGTTCTCCACAAGGCCATGTATGCTCTGAATCAGTGTTCAATATATGATACTGTTTCTCCCATAGCCAGAATTCATTGGTCCAGGAATCAAGGGGTGGAAGTGAAAGTGGCACCACTCAGCAAAACCCCTAGTGATCCACTAGCAAAATTTTTGCTTCCTGTTCCTGTGACATTACATTCTGCTGGCCTAGAGGTCTTACTTCCAGAGGGAGGAATCCTGCCACCAGGAGACATAACAACAATTCCATTAAACTGGAAGTTAAGATGGCCACCTGGACACTCTGGGCTCCTCCTACCTTTAAGTCAACAGGCTAAGAAGAGAGTTACAGTGTTGGCTGGGGTAATTGATGAGGACTATCAAGATGAAATCAGTCCACTATTCCACAATGGATGTAAGGAAGAGTATGCATGGAATGCAGGAGATCCACTAGGGCATCTCTTAGTATTACTATGCCCTGTGATTAAGGTCAATGGGAAACTACAACAGCCCAATCCAGGCAGGACTACAAATGGCCCAGACCCCTCAGGAATGAAGGTTTGGGTCATTCCACCAGGAAAAAAACTACAACCTGCTGAGGTGCTTGCTGAAAGCAAAGGGAATACAGAATGGGCAGTAGAAGAAGGTTGTCATCAATACCAGCTATGACCACGTGACCAGCTGCAGAAATGGGGACTGTGATTGTCATGAGTATTTACTCCTTTTGCCAAAAACATGTTTGTGCATGTATATGCATGTACTAAAAAAATCCTTATTTTGTTTCTTTTTCCTTTATCATGTGACGTAAGATTTATTGATTTTCATATCAGCATTTAAGTATTGTTAACCTTATGTAATAGTATTTGGTTTGGGGATTGGTACGTTTCTGGTTGTACGAAGGATAGTTGTATTTATTGCCTTTATTTGAAGATTATGTATGATCTCAGGAGATGTGTATGGGTTCAGGTTGACAAGGAGTGGACCTGTGATGGTTAATACTGAGTGTCAACTTCTTTGGATTGAAGGATACAAAGTATTGATCCTGGGTGTGTCTGTGAGGGTGTTACCAAAAGAGATTAACCTTAAAGTCAGTGGGCTGGGGAAAGCAGATCCACCCTTAATCTGGTGGGCAAAATCTAATCAGCTGCCAGTGAATATAAAGCAGGCAGAAAAATGTGAAAAGGAGAGACTGGCCTAGCCTCCCAGCCTGCATTTTTCTCCCATGTTGGATGCTTCCTGCCCTCAAACATTGGACCCAAGTTCTTCAGTTTTGCGACAGGCTCCCCTTGCTCCTCAGCTTGCAGACGGCCTGTTGTGGGACCTTGTAATCATGTAAGTTAATACTTAAGAAACTCCCTTTTATATGTGTGTGTGTGTGTGTGTGTATATACGTGTACATATATATGTGTGTGTGTATATATATGTGTACATATATATGTGTGTGTGTATATATATGTGTACATATATATGTGTGTGTGTATATATATATATATACACATGGTTTCCACACAGCATTGCATATATATATATATATATATTTTAGTTCTGTCCCTCTAGGGAACCCTAATACATTCAGTTAACTCTCCCTCCCCTCCACCCACCTCGTGCTTTAAAGCATGCCATTGTCTCCTAATTTATAGTTGCTGACAAGAGGTCTTTTGTAATTTTTGTCTTTTTTCCTCTGTAAGTTATATCTCCTCCACGCTACCCTGTTTCCATGTGTGGCTACTGTGAAGATTTTGTCTTAATATTTGGTTTCAGCAGTTTGACTATGCTATGTCTAGGTGTGGCTTCTTTTGATATTTATATTTTGGGGAGATTTTCTAGGTTTGTTAGATCTGTGAATTTTTGTCTTTTGTTAATTTTGGAAAATTCTCAGAATTTATCTCTTTAAATATTTCCTCTGTTTCATTCTCTATCTTTTCTTCTTCTGGTAATCCAATTGCATATGTTTAGTTATTTTAATATTGCTATGCAGCTTTTGGCAGCTCTTATTCTTTTTTAAAACTCTTTTGGCTCTTTACATTCCAGTTTAAATAATATTTACTGATCTATTTTTTTATTTGACAAATATTTAGTGAGCACCTAACATATAGCAAGAACTATAACTTTCATCCTCTGTATAAGGATTACAACCTTGTACAGAACAGATATAATTTCATTTCCATGGTAGTTACTTTTCAGTTGAGAAATGAAAAGCAATACAACAAATTAAAAAATATATAGACTGGTGAACAAAATAAAGGAAAGAAACAAAAGACTCTTTCTAATGCTAAGAAGAATTAATAAAAAATGAACAAAATAAAAATGCTCAACATGTCATTAAAATACTACCGTGTTTGGACAAAATGAGTATATTCTTTTGTGTTGTAAAAGCCATCCTAACATGTATCCTAGAATTTAAAGTATAATAAAGAAGACATCCTAAGGTCATATTCATTTAAAAAAACTTATTTTAGGTTCAGAGGTATGTGTGCAGGTTTGTTATATAAATAAGTTGCATGTCGCAGGGGTTTGGTGTATAGATTATTTCATCAGCCAGGTAATAGGCATAGTATCCAATAGGTAATCCCTCCTCCCACCTTCCACCCTCAAGTAGGTCCCATGTCTGTTGTTCCCTTCTGTGTGTCCATGTGTACTCAATATTTAGCTCTCACTTAGGAGTGAGAATATGGGGTATTTGGTTTTCTCTTCCTGCATTAGTTCACTTGGGATCATGGCCCCCAGCTCCATCCATGTAGCTGCAAAGAACACGATCTCATTCTTTTTTATGGCTGTATAGTATTCCATGGTATACATGTATTTTCTTTAATCCACCACTGATGGGCACCTAAGTTGGCTTCATGTCTTTGCTATTGTGAGCAGTACTGCGATGAGCATATATGTACATGTGAACATATATATATATATATATATATATATATATATATATATATATATATGAACATATATATGTATTGTGGACATATATGGGATGAGTATATATGTACATGTGTCTTTATGGTAGAACAATTTATATTTTTGGGGGGTATATACCCAATAATGGAATTGCTGGTTCAAATGGTACTTCTTTTTAAGATCTTTGAGAAATTACCACACTGCTTTTCTCAACGGCTGAACTGACTTACATTCCCACCAGCAGTGTATAAACATTCCCGTTTCTCTGGAACCTTTCCAGCATCTGTCATGTTTTTTTACTTTTTAATAATAGCTATTGTGACTGGTATCTTACACCATCTAACAGTATCTCATTGTGGTTTTGATTTACATTTCTCTAACAATTAGTGATGTTGAGCATTTTTTTATATGTTTGTTGACCACATGTATGTCTTATTTTGAAAAGTGTCTGTTCATGTCCCTTGCCCACTTTTTAATGGGGTTGTTTGTTTTTTTAACAACTGGTAAATTTGTTTAAGTTCTTTATAGATTCTGGATATTAGACCTTTATCAGAAGCATAGTTTGCAAATATATTCTTCCACTTTGTAGGTTGTTTACTCCGTTGATAGTTTCTTTTGCTGTGCCAAAGCTCTTTAGTTTGATTTGGTCCCATTTGTAATTTTTTGTTTTTGTTGCAGTTACTTTTGGAGTCTTTGTCATGAAATCTTTGCCGAGGCTGATGTCCAGAATGGTATTTTCTAGGTTATCTAGCAGGTTTTTTTTTTTTTTTTATAGTTTTAGGTTTTACATTTAAGTCTTTAATCCATCTTGAGTTGAATTTTGTATGGTGTAAGAAAGGGGTCCAGCTTCAACCTTCTGCATATGGCTAACAAGTTTTCTCAGCATCATTTATTGAATTGGGAGTTGTATTAGTTTTTTCTCATGCTGCTAATAAAGACATACTTGAAACTAGGTAATTTACAAAGAAAAGAGGTTTAACTGACTCATGGTTCAGCATGGCTGGGGAGGCCTCAGGAAACTTACAATCATGGCAGAAGGCACCTCTTCACAGGGCAGCCAAAGAAAAAATGAGTGCACAGCAAAGGGCAAAGCCCCTTATAAAACCATCAGATCTTGTGAGAACTCAGTCACTATCAGGAGAACAGCATGAGGGAAACCACCTCGTGATTCAATTATCTCCACCTGTCCTGCCCTTGACACGTGGGGATTATTGCAATTCAAAGTGAGATTTGGGTGGGGATACAGAGCCAGATTTGGGTGGGGATACAGATATCAGTAATTTTTCTTCATTGCTTGTTTTTGTAAACTTTGTTGAAGACCAAACGGTTGTAGGGGTGCAGCTTTATTTCTAGGTTTTCTTTTCTATTCCATTGTTCTATGTGTCTGTTTTTATATCAGTACCATGCTGTTTTGGTTACTGTAGCCTTGTAGTATAGTTTGAAGGCAGGTAATGTGATGCCTCCACTCTTTTTCTTTTTGTTTAGAATTGCCTTTGCTATTTGAGCTCTCTTTTGGTTCCACATGAATTTTAAAATAGTTTTTTCCAGTTATGTCAAGAATGTCACTAGTAGTTTGATAGGAATAGTATCGAATCTGTAAATTGCTTTGGGCAATATTGCCATTTTAACAATATTGAGTCTTCCTATCCATGACCATGGAATATTTTTCCATTTGTTTGTGTCTTCTCTGATTTCTTTCAGTAGTGTTTTGTAATTCTCGTTGTAGAGAACTTTGACCTCCCTGGTTAGCTGTATTCCTAGGTATTTCATTCTTTTTGTGGCTATTGTGGATGGGATTGTGTTACTGATTCGTCTCTCATCTTGGACGTTGTTGGTGTATAAAATGCTACAGATTTTTGTACATCGATTTTGTATCCTGAAACTTTGCTGAAGTTGTTTATTAGATCTAGGAGCATTTGGGCACAGACTATGGGATTTTCTATGTATAGATGCATACTGTCTCCAAACATAGATTTTTTTTGACTTCCTCTCTTTCTATTTGGATGCCTTCTTTTTCTTTCTCTTGCCAGATTACTTCGGCTAGGACTTCTAGTACTATGTTAAATAGGAGTGGTGAGAGTGGGCATCCTTGTCTCATTCCAGTTCTCAAGAGGAATGCTTTTAGCTTTTACCCATTCAGTATGATATTGGCTGTGGGTTTGCCATAGATAGCTTTTACTATTTTAATGTATGTTCCTTCAATGCCTAGTTTGTTGAGGGTTTTTAACTTGAAGGGATGTTGAATTTTATTGAAAGCCTTTTCTGCATCGATTGAGATAATCATGTAATTTTTGTTTTTAGTTCTGTTTATGAAATGAATCATATTTATTGATTTACATACATTAAACCAAGCTTGCATCCCAGGGATAAACCCTACTTGATTGTGAGGGCTTAGGTTTTGATCTGGTGCTGCATTCAGTTTGCTGGTATTTTGTTGAGGATTTTTGCATGTATGTTCATCAAGGGTATTGGCCTGAAGTTTTCCTTTTTGCTGTTGTGTCTCTGCCAGGTTTTGGTATCAGGATGATGCCGGTTTCAGAGAATGAGTTAGGAAGGAATCCCTCCTCCTTAATTTTTTGGAATAGTTTCAGTAGGAACAGTATCTGGTCTTCTTTATACATCTGGTAAAATTTGGGTATGAATTCATGTGGTTCTGGGCTTTTTCTGGTTGGTAGGCCTTTTATTTCTGATTCAATTTTGGAACTTATGATTGGTCTGTCCAGGGATTCAATTTTTTCCTGGTTTAATCTTGGGAGGTTGTATGTTTCCAGGAACTTATCCATTTCTTCTAGGTTTTCTAGTTTGTGTGCATAGAGGTGTTCATAGTAGTTTCTGAACTTTTGTTTTGTATTTCTGCGGGGTCAGTGGTGATGTCCCCTTTTTCATTTCTGATTGTGTTTATTTGGATCTCATCTCTTTTTTCTTTATTAGTCTAGCTAGTGGTCTGTGAATCTTATTTATCCTTTCAAATAAGAAACCCCTGGATTCATTGATCTTTTGTATGATTTTTCACATCTCAATTTCCTTCAGTTCAGCTCTCATTTTGGTTACGTCTTGCCTTCTGCTAGCTTTGGAGTTGGTTTGCTCATGTTTCTCTAGCTTCTCTAGGTATGATGTTAGGTTGTTAATTTCATGTCTTCCTAACTTTTTGATGTGGGTGTTTAGTGCTATTAACTTCTCTCTTAACACTACTGTTTTAGCTGTGTCCCAGAGATTCTGGTATGTTGTATCTTTGTTCTAATTGCTTTCAAAGAATTTAATGATTTCTGCCTTAATTTCATTGTTTACCCAAAAGTCATTCAGTAGAAGATCAGTTATTTCCATATAATTGTACAGTTTTGAGTTATTTTCTTAGAATTAATTCCTATTTTTTTTGTACCATGTTCTAAGAGTGTGTTTGGCATGATTTTGGTTTTTTGTTTTAGTTTGCTGAGGGTTGTTTTATGGCGATTATGTGGTCAATTTTATAGCATGTGCCATGTGCAGGTGAGAAGAATGTATATTCTGTTGTTTTTAGTTGGAGAGTTCTATAGATGTCTGTTAGGCCCATTAGGTCAAATGTAGAGTTCAGGCCCTGAATATCTTTGTTAGTTTTCTGCCTTGTACTGATCTATTTTCAAATTCACCAATTCTTCTCTCAGCTGTGTTCAGCCTACTGATAAGCACATATAGTGAAGTCTTCACTGTTGGTATTATGTGTGTATGTGTGTTTATTTATTTCAAGCATTCCCATTTGACTCTTTTAAAAATAGTTTCTGTGTCTTTACTGAACTTCCTGTCTGTTCATGCATGCTGTCCACATTTTCTATTAAATTTCAAAATGAATCAGTGTGATTTTAAAATCTCTGTCTGATACTCTCAACATCTGGGTCATCTCTGAGTCTGGTTCTGTCAATTGCTTTATCTCTTGACAATGGGTTGTTTTTGCATGCTCTTAAAGTCTCCTATTATTTGAGTGAATGCTGGACATCCTTTGTGGAAGAATGACAGAAGCTGAGACAAATAATATTTACACCTGGAAAAGGACATGCATTTTCTTTTGCTTGGCTGTTATGTTGGGCATTGAGTTAGTGTAGGCAGACATACACTGGGTTTGGGTTTTATTGTTGCTCTCATTATCTTCATTGCAGTGCTAGCTCTGAATTTCTTCAGTGGTGGGCTGATGCTTCTTTGTGATTAGAGTGGGGCAGGCCTGAGATAGTGGAGGTTTTCATTTTTGTTTTGTTTTCTTTTTCTCATTGTTCCTGCTCTATCCTCAGCTTTCTTTGCTCCTTTCATATCCATACCATGGTGGTGGCGGGGGAGTCTGTTTCCATGTTCTTTATCCTTCTTCAGTGGTAAAATACTATTGCTTGTTATTGTGGACTAGGTTTATTGTGGGAAGAGGGAATTTTTATTTTCCTAACATAGTTTCAATTTTAGGCAGACTTGCATGCCTGGGTCTCAGAAATGAAGCCTCATCAGTGTTTCTTGCCTACCCTTTCTCCCAGTGTCTGTTGAACTCTGATCTGTGGGTCATTGGGCCATGGATAGAAAACAGTTCTCCCGCCTATTCCCAGAAGTAGCGCACTTCTCCTTATACCAGTGCAGGATCCTGAGGGCAAGAGTTTTCCCTGCTTTTTCCCAGGGCCAGAGGGCCTTTGCTTCTAGTCATCAACTAGAAGCAACAGAATTCTTGCCTTATCTCCAGTAGTTTCAGGCTTTTTCTTTCAGTGACAGAAGGAGCCATGTAGCTGGGTAGAGTTCATATCTCTTCCCCAGGGGCAACTGAAAATTTTCTCTGTGCCTGTACCACTGATGACCTCCTGCATGCCTATTCATCTCTAGATTTTCTCATGAGCCTCTAGTGGAGGGCAGTGAAAACGAGCTAGTAAATTAGGGCAAAATCCTCTTGTGTCTTGGACTGTCAGTTATTTCAAGCGATACTTTAGTCCAAAATTGACTTTTAAGAATCTACTAAACTTTCAGCTGATTTCTTCTAACTGGCTTATATGGTGGCCGTCTCTTTTTTCTATGCTCTGCCAATGGCAAAAGAGTTTGCATGTCCTCTCTCTCATTGAAGGGGCTTGTAATTCTTTGGAATTTAATTTATTTGGTTGCCCCATAACCTGAGCTCTTCAGTGGGTTCATGAAAAGTTTGTGGGTTTTCTGTCTTTTTTCCAATTGCTAGGGTGAGAGCCATTTCTCTTATGATGTTTTACATTCTAAATGAAAGCAGAACTCTAGAAATTTAAACTTGAAATATAGAAAGAATACAATCAAGGAGACTGCATAAATTTTGTTAATGGCAAATCACCAGAGCAAGGATTCACTAGCTCCTGCTGTGAGGTTCCATGTTTGTTTCTGGTCTTGGATTTTCATGTGAAACCACTTTTTTTTTTTTTTTCCCTAGGCTCAAAGCTGAGTACACTCCCGTCATTTTAATAATATTTTAGGCAAGTCCTATGACAATTATACCAACAAGTTTCTTCAACCCCACCACCACTCCTACCATCTCTATACTTTGCTTGCCCATACTCCCTTCACCCTTTCCTCTGCTATTACCACTGGTATTTCTGCTTGTGGTTGTGTAAAAAGCATCTCCAGATTACAGCAAGTTCAGCGGCCCTGCTCCATAGCCTGGCCTCTGCTGAAGGGAGAAAAGGGGGGAAACATGAACGGACATCATGGGCTGTGATCAGGCACTACCAGAAGCCCAGCTTGTGTTTCCAAAACAGGCTCTTAGACATGTTCCCAGCAGATAACTCTTCACTGGCTTGGAGAACAGGAAGGACTATTTCACAAACACCACTGTGTTTGAATTTCTAGAGGCTACCCAGGCCAAGAATACATCCCTGCAGTGCTTCACCACACACTCATTGCTGCAGCATTCATTGTCCCAGTCCTTACTCACAATGGGAGGATTCTCACAACCAGACATCACACATCGAGGCTGGGGTGACAGTGCCACAGGAGACCCACTCACCAATTCAACATCCATCTGAGAAGAAGACTCAACCTCAGGAACTACATCTGTGATCATCTCACAGATGGTCTCAGGAGAAGTTGCCTCCACTGTATGGGCCTCAGGACTATTGTTCATAGGCCGCTCAGGACTACTTTCCACAGTTGGTGGGACTAAGGTAGTCTGCATTTTCAAAGTGAGTGGAGGCACACTCTTGATCTGCAGAGGAGGTAGCTGTTGCTGTAAATTGATTCAAACTTTCTGAGGTGGAGGCTGTTGCATGGCCTGGAGTGGAGGAGGCTGCTGCAGAATGGTAACTTGCTGCTGAGTCAGGGGCTGTGGCATCTGTTATAATGGAGGGGGCTGTAGTCGGGGTGGAGGCAGTTGCATAGAAGCAACAGTAGCAGCTGCTGCTGCTGCCTGCAACACTGACCGAGTGACAATCTGGGCTTGTTGACTGGGCTGGATAGTGGCTGTACTGGTTGGGTCTAGTTGGAGCCCCCAGGAGGTCACCACTGTGGCTAGGATAGCAGTAACCATCCCTCCCTGAGACATAGTAATGGAAGAGGGCAACGTTTGTTTGGTAATAATCAACTTGGTGATATTGGGCTGACCCCCAGCTCCTGAAGATGCCTGGTTTGCCACATAGGATGAAAGGGTGGAGTTAACAACAATGGATGGGGACAGGACAGGGGGCTCTGTTGAAGCTGGTGCTGGAGACGCTGGGTCAACAGTAGCCATAGAAGGTGGAGAAGGAGTTTGTGATGGTGGTGCTGGATCCAATTCCGCTGTTTCCACAGTGGCCTGACACTCCTGGTTGTCTTCGTAAGCAGCCAGTGTCTTCAGATACTCTTTCTTGGCAGCCTCAGTTTTCCTCTTATATATCTGTTTTTGCTCCTCTCCAAGACTATCCCACATGGAGGCCACAATTTTTGAAACCTCACCAAAAGTGGCATTAGGATTCTGTCCCTTGATGGCAGCCCGTGTATCAGGAAAGAATAAAGCATATGCTGAAACTGGTTTCTGAGGTTCATTAGGATCTTTCTTTTTTCTCTTCTTTGGGAACTTCTGCTTTTTCCCTGCTTCCACCACCACTGTCTTCTGGCTGGAAATTTGCCTCCAGAAATCCTCAACACCAACCTCGTGAAGTGAACTAGTAGGTGAAGGGGTGGTTGAAATACGATCTTCAGGTGACTGGGCAGGTGGCAGGATGGTGCCACCCCGTAAGCTCAAACCCAGTTGGAAACTCAGTTCTGACTGATCAGTGGTGGTCAACTGGCTATGCCCCATCAAGTCAGATGTCATGTCTATCATTAGTACATCAATTGTAACAGGTGGGTTGGCACTATACTGAGTTCCTATAGAGTGGTTTAAGTCCATGATCAAGCCTCCACTGAGGAGCCCCCACCTTGCTCCATCAAGCCATGGGTCATGCCCACAGAGCATGTCCAATGTCTGGACCCCATACTGGGCTGAAGCACTGCCATCCTGTGAAGAGGAAGGGTCTGCCAGGTCATCAAAGTGGTCAACCACATCTGAGACAGCCAATGAGGGATCAGAATCCAAAGAGATAGGTGGGATTTCAAATTCTTCATCACCTAAGCTTGGTGTATGGAATGTCTCGGCCCCTGACAGGAAGAGGTGTGACGGCCCTGTGATTGTCAGGTAATTGTCATTTCCTCCGGGAGACTCCATCTTCACACAACTGCTCCTACCATCTCAGACTGTCATCGCTCCCACCGCCCCACTGGACTCGGAACTGTGAGACCACTTCTTGTATCATGTGTATCCTATTTAACTTTCCTTAAACAAGCCTGTGTTCCTTGCATCTAAAAACCTTAAAATGTGTGTGAAACCCAGCATCTCAGAACCAGGAGCGCACCAAACTCACATTATGTGGTAGGCAACACTCTAAAGATGCCCTCCCCCAAGATTCTTATCTGTTGGTTGTTCAAACAGTAATACAGGCACTGCTGTAAAGTCCCAAGTCAGTTAACTTAATTAATTAATAAATTAATAAGTATTAATTAATTAATTAAGACAGAGTCTCTGTTGCCCAGGCTGGAGTGCAGTAGTGCGATCTCAGCTCACTGCAACCTCAGCCTCCTGGGTTCAAGTGATTCTCATGCCTCAGCCTCTCAAGTAGCTGGGATTACAGGCGTGAGCCACCACTCCTGGCTAATTTTTGTATTTCTAGTAGAGACGAGGTTTCACCATGTTGCCAAGGCTGGGCTTGAACTCCTGACCTCAAGGGATCTGCCCGTCTCAGCCTCCCAAAGTACTAGGATTACATGTGTGAGCCACCATGCCTGGTTGAAAGTCAGTTAACTTTAAAATATGGGGATTATCCAGGTGGGCCTGACTCAATTAGCTGACCCCTTTTAAAGCAGAAAGTTTTCTATGACTGGAAGCAGGAGAAGTCAGAGAAATTTGAAGCATGAGAAGGATTTAGTGTGCTGTTGTTGGCCTTGATGCTGGAGGGGTTCCATACAAGGACCACAGAGTGGCTACAAGTAACTGAGACAAACCCAGCTAACAGCCAACAAGGAAACAGCCACCTCAGTTCTACAACCACAAGGAACTGAATTTTACCAACATCAGGAATGAGATTGGAAGATGATCCCAAGCTCCAGAAGAGAACACAGCCAGCTGACAGATTGCTTTTAGGCCTGTGATACCCTGAGCTGAGGTGCCAGTCATACCATCCAGGATTTCTGACCTATGGAACTGTCAGATAACAAACAGGTATTGTTTTAAGCTGCTAAATTTGTGATAATTTATTAGGCAGCAATAGATGACTAATGCATGTTGATTTCAAGTGAATGGGACTCTCTGGAGCTGTGTGAGGCTGCAACCCTTAATGTAAATAATTTTGTGACCATGTGTTATCAGAGTCAAATACGTTTGGAAAACCACATTTTCATAATCAGGATGAAAGGTTAATGATGTTGAGTGGACTTATAGCAGAGACCGATCACAGAAAGCATGGAGGCAACACTATGAAACAAAACTTGAATACTCAAGTGTGGAGGTTAACGATACAGAAAGCAGATTCTATCAGTGAAAATTAAAGCAACTGGCATTCATCTAGGAATTAACCTTAGCTCAAGTGGAAAACACAACTAATATTGCTAACTCTAACTCTGCTTTGGTTTAAAGGATGAAAATATGGTGAATAAATAATGATAAAAAAATAGCAACAACAACCATTGATGAAACATTTACTCTTTGCCAGGCACCGTCCTAGCAAGGTTACATGTGCTCTAATTCTCACAAAAGTTTTGAAGTTGATACTATTAATCGTCTTTTAACCTTTGGGTAGTAGTAATGAAGAATGGTCCTGAGATTAATCAGGAAAGAGATGGGAAACAAAGGCAGCATTTTGGCACAGGAAGTTTAAATGCCTGTTTTAGTTTCATGATGTGCCTTTAATCTTGGAGTCTCAATAATCCTTAGCAGCTCTGGATAAAGGAGGAAACACACTCTTTAATTCATGAAACTCAATGCACTTAAAACACCTGGTTTCTGAGCCAGAACCAGTAAATTAGGCCCTCTTTATCACTTGTTTTAAAAGTAATTCATGCTTTATCTGAAGCATATCATGTAATAATGCATATAATATAGGTTAAAAACATTTACTGATCTTAAAAAATTGGATTACCAGTACATTTGGGTCACATAGTAGTAGAGTACTCCTAGAGATAATGATGCCCTATTCCTAGAGTCTAAGAACAGATGGCAATCAATTTCTCCGGCATTATCTGGTTTACAGATATATAAGAGCGATAAAAATCAACAGTAATAAAATACTGGTAACCATAATTTTCACCAATTTTATTCGTGTACCACAAAAATGATTTAATTTTCTTAATTAAATAAGCACTAAAATAAAAATCATGGAAAAGAAGATGGGCTCAATCTCCCTAAGTGATGGAGCACTCAAGCATTTTTACTTTTTCACTGAGACAAAAACCAAAAGCAAATAACAAACAAACAACAACAAAAAAAACCCTGTCCACCCAGGAGCTAATCCATTTTCCACACTCATTATCATTCAGATGAGTCTTTTGTAAGACAAAGATGTCAGCATAGCTTCTTTCAGTGTCTGAGAACGCCTTTCTTATTTGGATTGTACAAATAAAGAGGACCCTCTGGATCTAATTAAGAGATTTTTCACCTGCCATCCTTCATTCATTCAGTTCACAAACATTTATGGAACACGTGCTATATTCAAGGCACAATGTTAAATACTGTATTACACTAAGAGTTATGCCACAATGGGTCAATCATAAAACCACACTCTTAATTAATCTTGCGATTTTTAATGATTTAATTCTTTCATTCAGCAAGGCCTTATTAACAACCAAGTGCCAGGCTAGGCACTGGGGCTGCCAAAGTGAACTAACAATCTCTGCTTTCATGTGCTCATAATCTAATGGGGGGAGGCAGAGGCATAAACAAGTAATTACTGTGCAATTGAGGTCCTACCGTAAAGGTCTGTGATGGTGTAATGGAGCCTGTATGTGTGTGTGTGTGTGTGTGTGTGTGTTAGTGTTACTAGAGGGGAGTAGTAGAAGAGTCAGAGAAGGTCTTCCTGGGGAGATGACACTTGAAGGACAAGTAATAGTTTCCTAGGGGAGGGAGGATAGAATTTTCCAGGGAATGTAGGAGTGAATATACCAGGTACAGGGAAGGGCTTTGGAAGACATCTGTGGGAAGTCACATCATATCTGGGGAATTGCAGTCACATATGGCTGGGAGGATATGGGACTACCTGGAGATGAGTTGTTTGGAGAGATATGGAATGAGAGAATTATGTTTGAGTATTATTTAGGTCAAGCCAGATGAATTTACCAATATTAGACTATTTTGACAAAAACAGCAATTTAAAGAATATTTCGGGGTGATATAATAATGATGCATAAGCACCAGTAAATAACCACAAAACATAATCTATTATAATTGTTAGTGTTACTGTTATTATTTGCACTTCCCACTCCCTACCCTGATCAGAAATGGCTTATCCCTAGGTCCAAGTTTGCTCCTTCTGTCTGGGGGAGATTCTGGGTTCACATGCAGTTAACTAATCTTGGCCGCCACAGTTGGTGAGAGTGGGACTGAATAAATGAATTCATCAGGACTACACCAGAAAAACAGCTGGGGTAATAATGACAATAAAACCCTATCTTTGTTTTGTTTTGTTTGAGAGGAAGTCTCGCTCTGTTGTCCAGGCTGGAGTGCAGTGGTGTGATCTTGGCTCACTGCAACCTCCGTCTCCCAGGTTCAAGCGATTCTCCTGCCTCAGCCCCTGAAGTAGCTGGGATTACAGGCATGTGCCACCACACCCAGCTAATTTTTGTATTTTTAGTAGAGACAAAAACCCTATCTTTGAACACCAAAGAGTGCCAGCCACTGTGCTAAGTCCTTCATAGGCATTACCTCTAATCCTCACAGCAAAACCCAGGTAGGGATTTTTATACTTGTTTTACATATGGGCACTCCAAGGCTGTAAAGAGGCCAGGCAACTTGCTCAGTGCCACTCTGCTAGTGAGCAGCAGAGCTGGGACTATTCCTGTCTGATTTCACCAGACACTCCCCTTCAAGGAGGCCTAGTGAGAGTGACTGCGGTAGAACTAGAGAGGACCTAATCACCAGCTGAGTCTAAAAACTATTGCCCTGAAAAGGAAAGACCTGAAAGTGAGTGAAGCCCCGTGAATTACTTCAGAGTGTCGGAATTCTTTGTTTCTAAATTTCAATTTTTTCTCCTTAGAAAGCGAGAAAGAGGAGAGTGTAGAAGATGGGGATGGGGCATAAAAGAGGCATTTGGGTAATATGGGGAGAAAAGTGAGCACCCACTCTTTCCTCCACATCCCTGCTGGCAGGGGATCAGCTGGGTCTAGAATTTAACTCTTTCTTTGCTGTGGCAAGAACAAAGTTCATTGTGCTTACCGAAGTCCTTCTCACCAACAGCTACATAACAGGGAGGAATATTGTGTGGCCATCATAGGACAAAAATATTTCACTTGATTTATTCCCCTAAAAGATTGCATGGGAAAGAAGTGTGATCAAGAAAATACAACTTTAAAACTGGAAACATGTTACTAAGGAAGTATTCTTAAACTTTGAAGTTAGACAACATTTTCATCACTTTGGGATGGTGGTCCGGTTGAGACCCTGAAGTTCCCGTAGTTTTGTCAACATGAAGCCACCCAGCATACCATAATACACAGTGGGAACAAAGCCTCTGGAGGCCCATGTGATCCACGAGCACAGTGTCTCATCTATTATCCAAGTGGTCTGTTCTAGAAACCATCTTTTGGGTGTGTTTTTTCATTTGTTTCTTCTGTCTCCCATGCTGAGAGTGATGACAAGGGTCATTTCTCGTTAATGTTGTGGACACTGCACTCAGAGTGACCTTTCTCACTGAGAAGCAGCCTTTCACAGTCTGGATTTTTAAACAGTTTCTCAAAAAAAGAAAAAAAAGTGAGTGTATTTCTTTAAAGATCACACTTTGCGTTTAGAGTTAGATGCCTGTAGCTCTCTCAGTCTTTCTGTAAGAAATATAATTTTGTTAGGGTCCGAAAGAGAAAATAACTCTAGGATTATTTTGCAGGAGCAAAAGAGAAGTAATTTTCAGCAAAGTGGAATATATCATTAATCTTTCCAGTGGAAAACATTATAGTAAATCAATAAATCACTTAGAAAGGTTTCTACTCCCTCCTGGCCATTCCATGGGTCTGTTGTGCCAACTTATAAAATGCTTCTTGGAAACAATATTTTCTTGATAACTGGAATGATTGTTACAATTTATAAAACATTAACTTTCCTAAAGTATATTTTTTAGTTATCTTTTTAGCATTTGAGCTACACTGTTGTTGGTGGATGTTCTGAGCATGGCATTTTTAGCACAAGGAGGTAAAGCAGTTGACAAATGCCAAAGGACCAATGCGCTTAACGCGTCTGGAGCTGTATCTCAATCTAATTTTTAAGTTATTGATGACAAAGTCTGGCCTTCTCTTGGCATCTGGAACAATTTGGAGCTGTCTGTTTCCCAATCATCAACTACTACGTAGCCACTAACTAGCAACAAAAATTTGTTATTGGCCTAAATAGGATGCATCTTAAACAATAGTCTTATTTGTGATTCTTTGCATTTCCCTCCTCCCCTCTCATAACCAAGAGTTGAGTGTAATAAAAGTTGATACTTGGCAATGCAGAGTTTTAGAGATGCCAAGTTTAATTCGCTTTTATAGGTTGTCTAAAGATGCTTAGGGATAGCTTTTTGTTGAGTGGGTGTTCCAGATCAGCTTAGACAGTGCAGACCATGCCACAGGGATGGAGGGAGGAAACAAGGCAGGAGGGGATGAAGTCAGGTCGATTCTGTGGCAGGTTATCAAGATCATGCTGAATAGTGGAGCTCTCTCTAATATCCAGCTCCTTCTCAGATCATCTTCCTTAATACTTGGCTCAACATCCTAGGACTTTGACATTTTCAGATGCCTTTGGCAGAACAATTTATAGTTTTGAGTCTTGGCACATGGCATATTTCAAAGACTTCCAGGGTCCATTGCTCTTAATCTTTATCTATACTCATGGAAAGATCCTGCTAACTTGTCTATAGTGGGGCAAAGGGGCCAGCCACTCAGATGCTTGTGTGCTGGCCTGGCCTGGCCTGGCTCCTCTGCACGAGCGTGCCCCAGAGGCTGGGGAAGGATACAGCTAGCCAGAGGATCCTGTCTCTCATCTCCCATCCTCTGATGCAGGTGGCTCAGTGACTGCTGTCCTGCCCAAGGGAACACTGCCCATGATCCAGGTGCTCAGTCCAGAGAGAATGTTCCCTATTGAAATCATGTTGGGAACATAGCCCTTCAAAGCCAGTCGCTGTGGGTCCTTCTGTTATTGGGAGAGACCATGTCAAATGTCTAACAAAAGTGTTCCAGCAGTCTCTCTCCTTTTTGTGATTTGTGTAGAAAAAGAAGGTTAAATCTGGTGTGTGTCCTTCGCAGAGAAAACAGATATTCCAGTGTTGTCTCTTATTTTTACAGCATACTTGGAGAACGTACAGCTGATTAAGATATGTAATGTTTGAAAATTTAGTTAAGAGTAAAGAAATAGGGCATTCTTTGATTTGCAATCCTTTTGGCTAGAAAAATGGTTTGTACTTTAAGAAAGAACTTGGTGTGGCAAAGTATGAGCAAAAAATAAATAGTGAAGAATTTTCTAACAACAGTGTTGCCTGAAATGCATGGGAACCTAAAAAACAATCAAACAAACAACAACAAAAAAACTAACTCAAAAACAATTCTTTCTCTTTAACCTGTGTCATTATTTCCAGTGTAAGGTCTGAATGGCAAAACTTTATGCATTTATTTAATCTAAAATTAAATACTATGATATTTATATTTATCTTTTCTTTTTGAACATTACTTTTGAAAATGAACACAACACAGTTACAGATTCAATTATATAAAAATATTTTCTGTAACATGATAAATATTTGCCTCGGCTTCGTAAATTAAAGGCTGTATCCCAGCCTTTCATTGTGAGCTCATTTCTCTATGAGATTCACTTAAAATTTTATTACTATGTAGATCACACAATGGAATAACAGTGTTAATAACTTGATACTGTAGCTGCAGGATTTGTAACCTACTCTTATGAAGCTAACAGCCCTAGGGCCAACGGCTGCTCATTTATTTCACCATATTTAAATCAACTGTAGAGGCAGTCAGACAATAAATTGTGTGTCCATCTCTAGTAATAAAATTGGCATTTCAAACAGCAGAGACTTGTACAAAGATTTCACAGCTCCCCTTTTGGGATGGATTCTTCTTTGTACTATCTCTTGCAGGGAATAAAAAATGTGCTTAGATGTAAAATAACATTTTTTTTTTTCTGTTCTCTTGTTAAATTCTCTGTCTTACCACTGTATAGTTGAGCCCAACGATTTTAGCTTCTGTAAAGCTCCCACTTACTGCTTGAGGGGAATTCTTTTGTCTGGGCAATGGAACAAGATAACCAACTTAATCCTCCTAGTAACACGTGAGTCGCCATGTATCATTTTAATCTGCAAAACACTAGGGCTGAGTAGTGTCACATGCTGATTTTACTTTTCTATGAGAAAGTGACTCCCTGGCTCAATGATGGATTGCTTGTTCTCTTTAAACAACAGTCAAGATGGTGAATGCCCTGGGGTGATAGACAGAGTGTGCAATGGGAATGGGGGCAAATCTGATGGCCCGGTTCAAGTTCACCTGACAAAGCTGGAGCAGTCTGCAAGCAGCATTCGAGAAAGGATTATTCACACTTGCATTATATTTTTGAATGCATTTTTCTCCTTGTGCAGCTGCAAAGCTCCCTCACACTGAAGGTTTATGCACCATAATAAAGAGATTTATTTTTTTTTCTCTTACCCTCTCTTGCTTGCTTCTTGTACTTTATACCTAGTTTCTACTGAACTGTTCAGGCAGAGGACATCTGTATATTAAAACCACACAGAACAAATATCATCTTCAAAATAATAGCACTGCTAAAAGACAGTAACAAAAGCCTGACATTTCTGATATCTGAAGAAACAAAGATTGTCTCCTTAAGTTGAACTCAACTCCTCAAACTTTGCTTTTTAAATGTTGTTACTGCAAAACTCAACTCACTCCACAAGCAAAAGATTAAAAGTCAATTTCTTAGTTCAACTTAGAAAAATATTGAAGTTTTCCTAAGAATTACTTGAAAAATTTTCAATATCCAGTTTGCTATGAGATAAATATTAAAGAATGGAGGGAGAAAAATCAGAAAAGTTTAAACAAAAGGAAGCAAAATAAGTTTCTTGATAAATTAGAGGAAGGACTGAGAAAATGCCATTTTTTTTTTCTTTCCAACTTTTAATTCTTCCATCCATCCACTTATCTGCCCACACCCTTCCTTGTTGTAGAATGGTTTTCTGAAGCCTGGAGAGCTCAGACATTCTTTTCTTATGCCTCTCATCCTATGTAGCAAGAGTTAGTAAGCTAATCAGCCCTTATTGATCATTTAAGATGCAAACAATTCTTATTGGTATTTCATATTATTATGCAAAACTATAATAAGCCAGGGCTAGGGAGTAGCAAGAGGCACAAGGCCGAGTTCAGTCAGGCTGGTGAGATAGACAGAGCCATCTCCAAGGTGCCCTCGGTGATCCCCACCTGCTGGTATTCATGCCCTTTTGGGCATGAATTTCCAAGGTGCCCTCCCACATTGTACAAGGGTTGGTCTGTGTGACCAGTGACCAAAAGAGTACAAATGTGATGATATGTTACTTCGGAGGCAAGATTAGGTTGTAAAAGACATTGTGGCTTCCACCTCTCTCTCCCTTCGATTTTTCCCACTGCCATGTTGTTCTATGGACAGGCCACATGGTGAGGAACAGAAGCCTCTGACCCACAGCCAACAAGGAAGAGGTCTCCTTGCCAACAGCTATATGAGAGAGCTTGGGAGCAGATTCCCCAGTCCTGGGGAAGCCTTCAGAGGACTGGAGCTGCAGCTGACATCCTGACTGTCAGCTTAAGAGAGACTGAGTCAGAACTACCCAGTTAAGCCACCCCTCCCCACCCTTTTCTGATCTATAGAAACTGTAAGAATTAATAAATGTTGTTTTAATCCTCTATGTTTTGGGGTTAATTTGTCATGCAGCAATAGATAAATAATACACAAGATAATTATAATTTAACTACAGTAGATAATGTGATACAATTGTGTATTAGCTTCTATAATAACTGTGAAATGACAGTTGCAGTTATTTTAAAACATTAAAGGAGGGGTACCTTACCTGGGTTGTGGTGGGGAGGGAAAGGGAATAAAGGATGTCAGGGAAGATTTCTTGAAGGAGGTGTTGGATGAGGTGAGTCTTCAAGGATGAGAAGACATGGGGTGTGATTGTTCTGGTAGGTATAAAAACAGCATGAAAACAGTTACTAAATGACAAAGCATTGTATTGTGGTGTGGGAGGTGGCAGGATGAACTATATACTGAAACCATAAGTAGTTCAGTGTTTCTAGAGCATAAATTGCAAGACTAGGAGTATTGGTGGGCTAAGGAAGAAAGCTGTACATGCTGATCTAATAATGTGGACTTTTATTGGAAAAGAGAATCATTTGAATTTCTTATTAAATATTATTTTTTGAGATAAGTAATGCAAGCTTATTGCAGAAAATTTGAGAAACAAATGATAAAGAAGAAAATGAAATCCACTGTAATAGATTTACTAGGGAAAAACACTATCAGTATTTCAATATTTTTTATATATATATATTTCTATTTAGATGAACTCTCCAACAACCTGGTGAACTTGAAAGTTTAGTCTTCTCTTGTCAAGCCTCCAGATGAGAACACAGTTTAACCGGCACCTTGATTGCAGCCTGTGAGACTCTGAGCTTAGGACCAGCTAAGCTGTGCCCAGACTCCTGACCCAAAGAAGCTGTGAGATAATAAAACATATGTTGGTTGAAGCTGCTAAGTTTGAGACATGCAGCAATAGAAAACTAATACTCCTTTCTGTTCAGGCTTTCAGCTGCAGCACTCATCTATATCTGCTAATATTAAGGTCACCAGTGAACTCCACATTGCTAAATTCAACAATTTAGTTCACAGTTTTCATCTGACTTATCTGTCAGTGGCATCTGACATAGTTGATCATTCCCTCCTTGATTCACATTCTTTGCTTAACTCAGAGAATTCCCTCTTCTTTGTACTCTTTTTCTCCCTCTAAAACCCCCACTAGATGATGTTGGACCTTCTTTTCTCCTCATCTCTTAAACACTCATTTGTATTTTCTGTCCTTTTATCTTTCTGCTGCATTTTAGCTAATTCCTTCATCTCTCCTTCCATTTTAATAATTCTTTCTTGAACTATGTCTAATTTGCTGTTTAAACTTTCTAGTAAGTTATATAGTCAATTACTGTATTTTTCATTTTCTAGAAAATTAATTTGGCTTTTTAAAAACTAATCTGGCCTTTTAAAATGTTTATACAAAGCTTTGAACATTTTAAAAGAATACTGGATATTTATTGTTACTTTTATGCAATATATAAATGTATAACAACATTAAATAAAAGTTAATGTGTAACAATAGTAAGGGGAATGATAATCAACAGTTTCTGGACAGTGATTTTCTCTTGGATAGAGGAGGAAGTAGAGATCAGGGATGGAGTCTTCAAAAACAGTATTACATTTAATTTCTTCAACCAGGTGTTGGGTATATGGGTGACGACATAAATAAAAATTTACAGATATTTTAAAAATGCAATTTCCTGCAAATTCCTCTCAATAGTACTATTTCTGCTTTTTATAACTCAGAGATATGCATTGCTACAAAATCTCTATTTCTCTAAAATTCCTAGTTATGCCAATGTCATCTCACTTAGCAGATATCCTAGCTTTTTGACTTAACAAAGAAAAGTGGGCTTTGATGTGCTTTCCATCAATTTACTTCTTTATTACCTCCAATTTCCAGTTTCTTTGCCCATTGTTGCTCCTCCTTTTCTTCTGTGTTGGTAGAGATAACCATATTTCTTTCTAACTGTAAATATCCTGAACTTTATTCCCAATTTCATCTTCTACAAATGGAGATTGACAAACTTTTTTCTGTAAAGGTCCACATAGTAAATATTTTTCACTTTGCAAAATCCAGTCTATGTCACAATGTTACTCAGTTCTGCTATTGTAACACAAAAGCAGCTGTAGATAGTACATAATTGAATAAAGTTACTATGTTCCAATAAAATTTTATTTACAAAAACAGATGACAGCAGCTTTGACCTCATGGATCATAGTTTGTTGACCCCCTTCTACAACATCTCAAAGGTCACTCTCTCAATTAATAGCCTCTTTTTGCTGTCAGCAATCTTTTTTCACTGTTCTCAGTCTTTCACCCCCCAAATTGTTTTTTTTTCCTGAATTTTTCTGCTGGATTTCATACTGCTGAATGCTCCTCCTTATATTCTTTCCTGATTAGTTTGTTTGATACCATTCTTGGTTTTCATCTTCTTTATCTATTGATTCTTCAAACTTTTCTTGTTATTTCTTCCTTTCTATGACCTTACATTTAAGATTTTTTTTTTGAGATTTAAAAATATATAGAAAAGTAGAAAGACTGGTACAATGAATTGCTATGTAATCATCTCCCTTCAACATTAACCCCAAAGAGTCAAGCTGTTTTCACATCTTTTTCCAAATTTTTCTTTTGGCTGAATGTTTTTAAGATATCACTTCATCATTTTATCTAACACTTAGTCCATATTCAAAATCCCCAATTGTCTCAAAAATGTCATTTTATCACTGATTCATTATCCCACTTTTAGTGATCAGATTGACTGAAGTGTGAGTAGCATCAGCCTGATTTCTCCATTATAAAGTTCTCCATCTAATTTTCCCCAGCCATCAATGCTTTCTGCCCAGATCCATTATTTCATTAATGGATGCAAAATCATGATTTTCTAGTTTAGTCTTTCTATGTTTATTAGTTGGACTTCTTCTATGATGTTGAATAGAAGTGGGATAGTAGGCAAATTTGTCTTGTTCCTTTTCTCAACTTAAAAGTTTTAATTGCTTCACTATTAATTATGGTATTGCTGTTTTAAGTTTAAAATAAAAAAACCTTTGCCAGATTTAGAAACCTTTTCTTTATTCTTAGTTTTCAAAGAGCTTGTTTTTTTTCTTTTACCATGAGTTGATTTGGAATTTTATGAAATAATTTTCTACATCTTGTGAAATTACATGATTTCCTCCCTTTACTTTGTTAATAGGATAGATTACATTTTTTTTTCATTTCCTTAATAAGCATGTATTAGCTTTGGTTTTCCAAGAAGCAGATACCAGGAAAGGATTAGACATGAAAGACCTCTATTGGGAGAAATGATTGTAAAGGATCAGTTGGAGGGAACAAGAGTAGGCAGGGGACCATGCTGTGGGCCTGATGCCTATAAAAGGAGAGAGCAAAGAAAAGAGTTTTTTTGTTTGTTTGCTTTTGTTTTTTGAGATGGAGTCTTGCTCTGTCGCCCAGGCTGGAGTGTAGTGGTGCCATCTCAGCTCACTGCAACCTCTGCCTCCTGAAAAATTAGCCATGACCAGCTTTTTTTTTTTTTTTTTTTGTATTTTTGGTAGAGATGGGGTTTCACCATGTTGGCCAAGCTGGTCTTGAACTCTTGGCCTCAGGTGATCCATCTGCCTCGGCCTACCAAAGTGCTGGAATTACAGGCCTGAGCCACCACGCCCGGCCTTAAGAAAGTTTTGGTTAGGCCAGTGCTAAGACTTTGTTCCACAGTCACAGTCAGCAGTTAGAAATATTCTGAGACTAGTGTCCTTGTCATGCTTAGTCACTGGCTGACAGCACATTGAGGGCAACATGGCTTCAGCATAAACACAGTGATGGATTCAGGGGAGTGAAAGCTGGGAGTGTCAATCAACTGTGATCCCCACAGCAGGAGATTGGAATGGGTCTTCCTTGCCTCAACTGCAACTGTGAAGAGACATGTGCAGCAACCTCAAATTGAGAAGAGTATAAACTATCAAATGTTTGGACTTGATACATGAAGATCATGTATGTAAGTTTGAGTCTCACCAACCAGGTAAGCCACCCAGACTTCCTGAGTTAATAGTTAAGGCTGAGGGAAACTTAGAATGAACAGTGGAGGATAGGGAGAGTGAGCACCAGTTGCAGCCCCAAGAATAACTGCAGAAAAGAATTGGTTTATCTCACTAGTCGCCCTTTTGTTTCTTTCAGTAAGATCATGGAGGAGCTGTTTCCTAAACCTGTGTGAAGAAGTAGATCTGTGTAGGGTAAGGGATGGACTGTGGTAGCCAGGAAAATGTATCATTCTTCTTCTTCTTTTTTTTTTTTGCAAGACTATTCTTTTTTTTAAAAAAAAAAAGCTTTATTGAGGTATAACTTACCTACCATAAAATTCACCCTTTGAGTGTCTAGTCCAATGGTTTTGGTATATTCATAGAGTTCACAATATTCAATGATTTTTTTTTTTTACTTTTATTTTAAGTTCAGGGGTACATGTGCAGGTTTGTGTCATGGGGGTTTGTTGTGCGAATTACTTCATCACCCAGGTATTCAGCCTAGTACCCATTAGTTATTTTTCCTGATCCTCTCCCTCCTCCCACTGTCCACCCTCTGATAAGCCCTGGTGTGTGTTGTTCCCTCTATGTGTCCACCTACTCTCATCACTTAGCTCTCACCTATAAGTGAGAACAAGTGGTATTTAGTTTTCTGTTCTTGCATTAGTTTGCTAAAAATAATGGCCTCCAGCTCTATCCATGTCCCTGCAAAGGACATGATCTCATTCTTTTTTATGGTTACATTGTGATATGGTTTGGCTTTGTGTCCCCACCCAAATCTCATCTCGAATTGTAGTCCCATAATTCCCATGTGTCATGGGAAGGACCTGGTAGGAGGTAATTGAGGCAGTTTTTCCCATGCTGTTCTCGTGAGAGTGAATGAATTCTCACAAGATCTGATGGCTTTATAAGCATCTGGCATTTCCCCTGCTGGCACTCATTCTCTCTCCTGCTACCCTATGAAGAGGTGCCTTCTGCCATGATTGTAAGTTTCCTGAGGTCTCCCCAGCCATGTGGAACTGTGAGTTAATTAAACCTCTTTTCTTTCTAAATTACCCAGTCTCAGGTATCTCTTCATAGCAGTGTGAGAGTGGATTAATACACATAGTGTTCCATGGTGTATATGTACCACATTTTCTTTATCCAGTCTACCTAAATGCCCATCAAGGACAGACTGGATAAAGAAAACTGTACCACTCTTCCATCTTACTTTTTACAGATTTAATTATACTAGAAGGAAATACAGGAGAATTAAAAAGAAAGAAACTCAGAGTATAAGGAGGATCTAAGTATTATACATAACCAAAAAGCCATACAAAATAAAAGATTGATGAATTCAACTACATATAAAATTATGCACAGATAAACTTTTATGCAAAGTCAAATGTCAAAAGACAGGAAAACAAATTGAATTCGTATCACAAAGGCTCACATTTTTTTAATATGTAAAGAACTCCCAAATCAATAGGAAAAGCCCCAGTAGTATCAGTCTTGACAGATAGTGACAAAAAGCTCTAAAATCTCAATGGCTTAAACAACACATGCCTTTCTCAAGAGTGCTTTTCATCCCTCATGGGTGAGTTGGGGCTGTTTTCCATGTTGCTTTCCTTGCAGGACTTATGCCCAGAAGCAGCGGTCTCCTGACCCATTCTTGATAACTGTGGCAGAGGGAAAGAGGCTCTGCAGGATCTTGTGCTGCCAATTAAATGCAGGACTTAAAGTGATACTGATCAATTCCTCTTGCAAATCATTGGCCAGAACCTGTGTCACGGCCCTGCCCAAGCCCCAAAGGACCAGACTGTGCCGTATTCTATGTGCCTGGAAGGAGAGAACCAGATATTTGCGAGCATCACCAGATATTTGAGAGCATCACTAAGGTCTGTCACATTACCAATCCATACAGCCTATGACTTACATGGTTTCTCCATTGAAGGTCTAGTCAAAGAAAGACGATGGCAGATTTCATTACATTCCACATGCTGGTTATTAAAGAAGTAAAAAATTCCTCTCTTTCCAAAATTGGTAGTGAAAACTTTCTGATCAACGGAGTGAATCTGGGGATCTGTGAGGTAGATGAGTCCTTTTCCATTACCGGTTACCCAACCTAAAAGAGAAATGAACACACCTGAGTATTAAATTCCCTGTAAATGTCCATCAAGTGTTTACAAAAATACATACACACACACACACACACACACACACACACACTTAAAGAGATAATTCAAAAACTTGGCCATCCTGTGGTTTATAGTTAGTAAATTCCTGGTAAGGAATTTGGATGGCATATTCCAGTTATTAGTTTAAGAATAATTAAATATTGGGCAGTTATATTTGTCAAATATGACATCCCCAGATCACCAATTTTTCAAGGTATTAGAAAGCAATAAAATATACTTAGAATAATTATCAATATCATAATATGGAATATTTCTTTCATGATTCAGAGATTTCTTTAGTGACTTATTCATTAATTCATATACTCATCTGTTCATTCAACAAATATTTATTGAGTGCAGACACTCTACAAAACACTATTTTAGGCACTGGTGGTACCGACTGAACAAGCTAGTAAAAAATCTTACTTATAATTTACATGAAGTATAGGGTATTTTCTAATAAAAATTCTGATGAATAAAATACCAGACAAACTAAAACAAAATTAAAATATTAAGGTAGAATTGAAAAGTAGTCATATTTAAGTACATAGTTTAAAGATACAGATTTCTGTTCTATAATGACCCCCATTATGAAACCCAACATCACACTTTTAATAAGGGTAAGGGGCTGGAGAAAAGGAAAAGTGGAAAGAAGATTTTGACATGTGAAAAAAATGCAACGAAATATACATCACTCAAATCTACTTAAGTGAAATAAAAAAAGCTGTTATAGAGATGCTCTGGAACAAAGCCCAACAGAACATAAGCCAGACCCTCTCACTGATTATGTGATACTGTAGACATTTGTAGAAGTTTTGGGCATATTTTTCTTTCAGGAATTATTTGCTATATATAGTAAGATCAATTAAGTTAACTCCAAATAATAGCCTATACATGGAACAATCTATTAAGTAAAGATTAGGGAAGCTAGTTACAAAACTTCACATTTACATATAATATTAAAAATAAAAATAATTCCCAGTTTCACATACCTTGTAAATCGACCACAACATCTCTATGATTAGAAAACTCATAAGAAAAATGGCCATAGGCCAAGCCATATTCTGTGGCTTTGTATTCTGTTTTCACCACTTTCGTGTTATTTGACAATTTTACAAATTCTCCCAGTATGTAAGGCTCCACACTGATACATCCCTTTATTGTCTTGTCCTCTAAAATCTGAAAAATAGCAATGAGAAACATTACAGCATAATGGTAAAGGCCATTGTCTTTGGACTTGGGTAAATCTTGGTTTGAACCTAGGCTCTGCCACTTTGCTTCTCTGAGCTTCAATTTCATCATGGGTAAAGTAGGTATAATTATAACTACCTTTTAGGCTTGTTAAAGGGATTATGCAAGGAAATGCATGTAAAATGCTTAACACGGCATGTGGCATGTCATAGAACTTAAATTTATTGTCATTCACATATTAAACTGCTCACTTAAGATTTAGGCCATGACGTGACCTGTCCTGGAGGCTAGGTTACCAGGACATGAAGTTAGATCATGCTCAGGGACTCTAGGTTAAAACATCAGCTTTGTGGAGTTGTTTCAAAGGTTAGAGTTAAGGTTTGCAAACTGCCTGGCACAGTGAGTGACATAAAGAAGGTATGAAATGGATGATAATTACTATTATGATTAGGAAAAGACGGGTCTAAAAATGTCTCTGGCCAATGAAAAAATTATTGCAAGTATGAATGCACTCAGGATCTAATATATTCGGGGTAGCAAGGCATTCTTGATCCAAAGAAGAGAAAACTCAATGGGAATATTAGCCTTTATCTATTGAAAGGGGTATGTTAGTGAAGAGAGACTGGTCTTCATGGTCCCAGGAGGGAGAGCTGTAATCCATGGACAGAAGTTAGATAAAGATAGATTTGGGCTAAGTCTAAGAACTTTCTAACAATTAGGATTACTTGAAAGTGAAAGGAGAACAATTATTTTTTCTTGCTGAAGGTGTGTAAGCTTTGACTTAGCAATCACTTGGTTGCAAGGGGTGAGGCCAACAGATGTAAAATGGGATTTATGTATCATGTTGAGGGGATAGTTTGTACTAGATAAATCTTTAGGGTTCTTTCTCTCTTGGAAAGTACAGGGACAACACACAAGGATAGTTTGCTAAAAATGCTAGCCTGATTATGTGGAACCAGATACTCAGATTAATTGATATTCAAGTGTGATTTGGAAGATCCAAATGATGTGTTCAGGATAATCTTACCAGTAGTATTGTGGATGGGATGTAGAATATCTGGGTGGGAATGTTTTGTTCATAGAGTCTCTTGTTAAATTCTGTCACATAGTGCTGTGCGGTCATCTGTCGCTCCACATCAGTGAAGTGGTGCCAGAGCCCCTTCTGCTCCTTATAGTCTTTCCCAACATACCTATGAACAAAGAAAATCCACACAACAAAATGCAAAAGTGGTCTTACTTACTATGGAGTAAGAGAGAGGAGATCAAAAGACATATGCAGAAATGCTTGAAAGATCTCTTTCTCTGCCTTAGACTGAATATTAATTATTTTGACTTATCTCAAGATTCAAATAATTTTGTAAGAGCTACTTGAACAATGGAACACACTCATTCTAGCTGACCCAGAATGATACTGATTATAAAGGGAAAGTGTCACTTAATGTAGAAGTTCTCCAGACCTCTGGTAAGACAAGGGGGTCAGCAAAGTATACTGGAATGTGCATGGATTCTGGAGTCAAAACCTTCCACTCCCTGCAGTGTGGCCTTATATAGTCAGTTCATCAATCTGAAGCCTTCCTCTATCCCTTCCTTTTATGATTACTTCATTCCTATAAATACTTATTATCCGTCAATACCTATTATGTGCATAACACTGTGCTAGTCTTGAGTGACTTGAAGAAAGTGTGAGACATGATTTGTATATTTCAAGAGCTAATAGCACAGTTGGTGTGGGAAGACACAAGGCAGTAAATGATTACATGCGGAAAGAAGCAAAACAGTGCTGCACTTTACTGTAGTTTATACTTGCTGTAAACTGGTGTGAATTTGTGAGTAATTTCACATGTGCCCAGAGTGACCACCAAAAATCAAGGGGAATTGTTTGAGTCATAGACTTCAACCAGAGTAAACTCTCTCCAGAAATTTCTGAATCCCATATAATAATGGAACTTAAGGAGGCTGTGGTTTTGGCCATTCAGACTCCTGAAGACCAGAAAGGAAATCTGATAGTGGAGGCTGCAGTATGGCCTCAGAAGGCAGCCTGCAGAGGAGCAGTTGTTGTAATAGGGATGCCATACCAGTGCTTTAGGCAGTTCTTCTATGGAGAGACCGCAAGACCTATAGAGGGTTTGAACTAATTCAGAATTTTGTTGACTGATACCAGAGGTGTGCACAAGAGAGTGAACCTGTGAGTACTGGCTACTGGAGCATTTCCTGAACATTCTGCCAGAAGACCTCCAGTCTTAGGCAGGGGATCATCAATCTGAGAACAGAAGTCCATATCTTCTCTCATCTTGTACCATTTTTTTTCTGGGATCATTTTTCTTTAGTGAGGATTTGTTCATGGTAAACTGCCATGGTCATTTTTCCTTTTAAGCTGCAAATGTCTTTATTTTGTCTTCCTCCATAAAAGAGAGTTGCACTAAGTATATGACTTCCATTGTCTCTGAATTCCATTGTTGCTATGAAGAAACCAGCTGTAGGTCAAATTGACATTTCTATGTACGTAATCTGTCTATTTTCTTTGACTGCTTTTAAAATGGTTTCTTTGTCCTTAGTGTTTGGAGTTTGACTACTGTGTACCTAGTCAAACTAGGTACACAGGATGTCTGACTACCTGCCTTCCAGCTTCTTTCCTCCTTTCCCTTCTGTCCTTAGGATTCACTGTGATTTCTGTATTTCAAGATTAGTGTATTTTGGCAATTCTGAAAAATTACCAGAAAGTATCTATTCAAATATTGTTTTTGCTCTCTTGCTGTTATTTTCTTCTGATCAGAAATATATTGAACTCTGCCACTCCATTCTCTATGTCTCTTATTCTCAATTTATTCTCATCTCAGGTCCTCCTATGGTATACTCTGGTGTATCAGGGCTGCTGTCACAACATGCCATAAACTGGGTGGCGTAAATAACAGAAATTGATTTTCTCACAGTTCTGAAGCCTATAGTAGTCCAAGATCAAAGTTCCAATGGGGCCATCATCCTGCTGAAGGCTCTAAGGAAGAATCTGTTTCAGGCTGTCTCCCAGCTTCTGGCAGTTCTCTGCTATGAGGCAACATAACTACAATCTTCACATGGCATTCTCTCTGCGTCTTTGTCTATCTCCAAATTTCCTCTTTTCATAAGGATATCAGTCATATTGGATCAGGGGCCCACCCTACTCCAGTATGACTTCATCTTAACTTCACCAATTACATCTGCAATCCCTCTACTTCCAAGTAAGATCGTAGTCTGAAGTACTGAGAACTTCAATATATGAGTTTTGGGAGACACAAGTGAAGCATCAGCACATGCCCCTACTGCTTAGACATGTGATTTCAGGCAATTCCTTAACATCTCTGTGACTCAGTTCCCTCATCTGTAAAGTGAGAATAATAATAGTATCTACCCTCAGAGGGTTTTGTGAAGATTAATTGAATTAGCATATAAATCATTTAAAACAGGACCTGGCATATGTTTACTAAAATAATAATAATAATCAATAATCTTTTCAAGAAATGTACTTCCACTGCTTACAGAGACACTTGATTTCTCTATTTCTATTTATTTCTTACACTATTTGGATTTGAGCAAATAACAAGGCCAACTTTAAATGAAAAGTCATGGCTTATAGGTCTTTTAAAATATACAAATGATAAAAAATTATGTCTTAAATCCAATGAAGACCACCTGTGGTTACTAATTTTTCAGGTGAGTTTTTGTTTAAAATTTTTATTAAGAACTAAGGCCAAAGCAAAAACTTTCCAGGCATTTACTTCACTGGGGTGGGGTTTTCAAAGATACCCTTTATCGTGGGGATGTAGCCATTCCTGAGTCTTTGCTTGTATGAGTGGTATCTGAACTCATTCCCTTCTGGGTGTAGCTTTTGCTACGGGCTGCACCCTCACTCCACCCCTGCCTCAAACGCCTATGCGGGATCCCTAAAGGGTTCAGCAATCACTTATATCCCTGAACAGGCTTCATCCCTGGACTCAGGATTTTCCTGCCTTTTTTCAGGCTCACCTATTTACTTAAAAGTGTGCTTTTCATAATTTACCTTTTTTTGCCAGCATTTTTAGTGAATATTGAAGGCTCTCTGGCCTGTCATGTGGCCAGGAACTTTATTTTTCTTATCAGTACAGTATGGCCAATGTTTCCCTGATGGTTTTGAGGTCCTGTAGCTAAAACATCCAGCAAAACAGCTGATGTAACGTGGGTCCTCAATATATAGTAACTGTTGTTAATTAATTAATAATGAAAAGAAAAAGGAGTAGAAATCTGGAAATATATTTTGGCCAAGTTTTTCAGCCCCTACGAAGTCTCATGAGTGATTACTTAACAGAAGAGCAAGGTTAGCTCATCTTACATTAGTTATACAAATGTTTTTAAGTAATACCTCCCCAGAATTTCTTCTTGATGAAGATGATGAACCCAAAAAGCATTTCTTTGTCTGCCTTTTTTCTTCACAGTCAAGTAGTCCCCCAAATAGACAATAGTTTCCTGGGCCGTCCACAGTTCAGATTTTTTTGAATATTTTAACAAAAGAGCACCTGGGAAAAAAAAAGATGAAAATGAATCTTATTTTCAAAAGGACGTTACAATTCATGAATAAAGCTGATGTGACACAGGTCCTACGCCAGCTCACCTGAAATCTTCACTTTTTTATACACTTTTCTCTAATTTTCATCTCTTCTATGACAACTACAGTATTAAAAAGTTAGTGAGAAATAATAAAAAAGTAACACTTTATAAATTACAATGAGGAATAGCCTTTGAGTCACAAAATCCCTTAGTTGTGATGAAAAGGGATTAAGATAAGCATGAAGATTCTATATGAAAGTAGTGGAAAATAAAGGAATTTTAAAATCAGAAAACCCCAGAGACCATTTTGGGACAAGTGACACATGCTTGCAACTTACTATTATTACCTGGGGATCCCAAATAACAGAAGCTACTACTGATGGCAGCTCTGGGAATCCTAGCATTATATATTCAAGTGCACCCTAATTTTCTCTTCATTGTTTTAAGTTGAGAAAGTTTGGAAATTATTTGAGAAAATGTAGCTGCTGTAAAAACATGCGAACTCAACTGAAAAAAGGAAAACATAAGAGGAAAAAGTAGGGGCAGTCTCCACCTTATAGAAAGGAAGAACAGTGCTAAGCAAGAAAGCATCTCTTTGAGGAGAAACACCCACATGAATCCTAAGGAAGGAGTGCAACACTTTGGTTGAAATTAAAATGAAGTGAACAAAGACTTTTGTCTAGATTGTGAAAATAGATAAATGAATGGGATACGTGGGAGAGAAAATACTTAAAGCAAGATAAACTGACAGTTCTGGGCAGGGGATGCCTGTGGGCTGGGCGGGATGGTGACCAGGGTTGGGTGACTCAGTTAGAGAAGCCGGATGGAAATGGAAGGTGAGTTGTCTGTCCACACACAGGACGGGTGATAAATTGAGAGAAGAAAAGAGGAAGGGAATCATTGTTCTGTTTCTGCCATTTTGGGCCTTGCTTCCTCTAATGTATTTCATCCATAAATTAGCAAACGATAACAAATAAGAAGAAAGCAGTTACCTCATTGTAATAAATGTGATTCCAAAATTGCAGAATCTCACAGTTAGTAAGAAAACCCTATTGCTGGAAATTTTTGCTTTTTTTTGGTAACAATGTGATTTGTATTTTAGTCGGACTTCAAGGTGGCAGGCAAAACATTGGAATACTTTGAAGCAGAAGCTCTTAACAGTGGCTTTAAGCAGAATCACCAGAGAGGTGATAAGAAATAATGATCCCTGGGTCCGCACTCCAGACCCATTAGATGGAAATCTCTGGGGTGAGGCATTGGAAGTTTTTAAAAGCTCCCCAGAAGAGTCTCATGTGGCGCCAGGGTTGAGAACTACTATTTAATAGCCAGTGCTTAGTGATCCATGTAGTTTATCTCTTCTGGGAAGTGCTTCACAATCTTTTTGTTTTTTTAATCATTCAAATCATTTTTCTGTATAGTAGGAGGGCATTTTGATGTGATTCCTGGGCTAAGAGAAGAATCTCCTTCTGTCTTCCTCCCAGCTTCTCTACCACTTTTAAGCTGTGTTAGACATTGACTACTAGGTGGCTCCAGCCCAGGCTTCCCGCTTTGGGCAGTGACATTGGGCTGTTCCTTAAGCAAGAAGTAGCTGCTGATTGCAACAGTAGGGGTACTGTAGTCTGGAAGTTTTTATCCCCCCTAAATTCACATGTTGAAGTTCTAACCCACAAGGTGATGGTGTTGGGAGCTGGAGACTTTGGGAGGTGATTAGGTCCTGAGGGGTAGATTCCTCATAGATGGGATGAGTGCCCTCATAAAAGAGATCCCAGAGAAACCCTTCCCCCTTCCACTATGTGAGGACACAGAGAAAAGGCGCTGTCAATGAACCAGAAAGCAGTACCTTCATCCTGGACTTCCAGGCTCCAGAATTATGAGGAATAAATTTCTGTTGTTCATATGCTACCCAGTTGATGGCATTTTGTTACAGAATCATGAATACAAGATGAGGATGCACTTGACCAACCAATTGGCTGGCAAGAAACCGCTTAGGTAGACAGGTGTAAAAAGTCTCTGCCCAATAGAAAGATGATATTTAACTAGGTCAAACCATGTCCCCATAGAATTCTAATGGGGAAAGATAGAGAAAAATCAGTTGGTTGGTAAAAAGACTCGAAGGAGAAGATAGATGCTGAGCAGATAATATGGTATCCAGCCTGTTAAAATCACCTGATTGGTAATGAGAATCAATGAAGAAGATAGATGCTGAGTGGATGAGACGGCCTCCAGAGCTGTTTTCAACCCTTAGTGATGGCTGTGCCAGAGTCCTCTAAGTTTCCTGTCTCCCTCACTACCTCGTGTGTCCTTAGAGCAAACCTCCAGCATGCAAGGTAGCCTGAGCAAGCTTCTTTACAACCATTAAGGTCCATCGCACAGAGTGAGGGAGACCCCTGAAGTATACATTTCTCTGTGAACTCACAAAGCATACCAGGGTTCTATACCTTTCATGAGCTTTAAGTGATCTACATACCAAGCTCTTCAGAGTGCCCCAACACAGCTGCTTCCTGAGGGGGGAACTATTGAAAAGATTGTACTTACTATGTGCTCGGTGGAGTTGACTGGGCTTAAAAACCCCCGTATTCTCTAGTCTCTGAAACAGCCAATCATGCCTCACTCCTGCCAACAGCTTTTCAAAGTCATCAGGTTGCAAGGTGCGAGCCTCAAGGATCTCTTTCCTCATCTTTCCCGGCAATGAAACCCAAGAACTCCCACTGGAATTCAGATAGGACCAAGGGCTGTCCCCCTCAGAAGAACCACTGGAAAATGCAGGTGATTTCAGCCACCACACTGAGGATGAGCTGGAGTTCTGGCTGCAGTTTAGCATGTTTCCAGGCTGATTTCCTTCCTCTGTGGTAGTGCAGTCCTCGCTGAGGACAGGGAAGAGGATGTTACCGCTTACAGAGGAATTGGGGGTCTCCGCCCTCTGACCAGGCGGCTGTCTCAGAATGCACAGTCTATGAGAGCCGTGCCCATTTGTGCAGGGAACATCCATGCTGTCGAGCAGTTGCCCCTCCTCATCCACTGTGGAGGCATCAGGGTCGATGCCCTGCTCTGCGACTGGGCCACCACTTTTTCTGGAGTCAGGATTTTGAACAGGCCAATTAGGGGTGAAGGAGCTACATGGCAGCATGGAAATGTTTCCCAGAGAATTGTGCAGGACCCTGTGAAAGTCTAAGGGTGCATCTTCAGTGCTTTCTGCTGTTTCTCCTTCTGGGTCAACCCAGGAGGGACTAGCTTTAAATGTAGGGCCTGCGCCTCTTTCACTAATTTCTTCTCCCTGCTCTTTCCCCTGCCTGTCTTTGACATCGCAGTTGGTTTCTGGAAACTCAACAATTATTTCAAAGGCTTCTTCTTTTTGGACTGAAGGATGTGTGCCCATATTCTTGGGCCTACCAGAATCAGAAGACCAAGAAGCAGAACGATATGAGGGTCTGGAGTGAGCAGAAGTATTTCTGGGTCCCATATTTCTGACTTCCTGGATACCTTCTGGAGCTCCTTCTAGAAGCCCTGCACCAGGGGCCAAGAAAATGCCTGGGGTATTATGAGGCGAGAAGGGTGTCAAGGGCATCTGTTGCTGTGGCTGATTTTGAGAAGGCTCCAAATTGTCATTGTTGGGTTCCTGAAGAGAGAGATCATGAAGCTGTGAATGCAATGAATGCATAGCTCTGCCTTCCCTGTCATTCTCTAGCTCCTCAGACAAGGCAGTGGAACACTGAGTGTCCACCAGATGTTCTTTGCCAGGCTCTTTTCTGGCTGACCTGTCGTCAACGTGATAATTCACTTCCTCCCAGCTTGCAGAGGAACTAAACCCTGATAAGTTGCTCCAAGCACTGGAAGTCTGGCTGCCACTCAGAGACTTGTTGAAAACAGCTCCCTCACCATTGCTGTAGTCCGATGGCTCAGTCTCAGTCTCCACATCTTGATCCAAGGAGACTCGAAATGCATCAGAATGGGTCCAGTTTCTCCTTCCTCCCCTTCTGAGTTCCCTCTGAACATTCTTACCCATTAGGGAGGAAGATATTCCTGTGTCTCTTTGACAATGTGGCTTTTCTTGAGTAGTACTCACAGTATCTATGTTTTTTATTTCTGTTTTTAGAGCAGTGATGCAGACTCCTGTTTTTGCATCTTTCTGTTCATTTTTGTTGTTTCCACAATCACTTTCAAATACTTCACACACCGAAGTATGGTGCTGTGAATAGGTGTCAAGGATTTTTTGGAAATCCCCTTGCCCATGCAAGATAAGTTTATCCAACCTGCACTCGAAACTCTCGGGAACATAAGATCTGTCATCTACATTTGAGAAGCTTTGAACTTGTAAATGTTCCTTCACCTGGGCAATCACAGACATAACTTCTTGAGACAGAGCTTCTCTGTCCTGACTTCTGGAGGAAGTGCTGAAATTGTACAGCTTCCCCATTGCTTCCTTACAGAGCTGACTTGCTGCATGGACCGTCCCTGTCTCCCCATGGAGCCTTCTGTGCACTGTGGTGAGACCGAAAGCAGCTTTGACAAAGCTGTGAAGCTCCTGTTTTCCAGTAACAGGCTCATCATCTCTCTTGGTGAGGAGGCCAATCTCAAAGGCCTCTTTGGCTTCACACAGATGTAAGTTTTTCAATTCTGGAGGACAGTCATTTGAACTACTGTAGGACAATAAACACGTGCCACGGATATTCTGGGAAAAATACCAAATACCAAATCAGATATTGAATTGAAAACTGCAAGTGAATCAGGACAAACTTTTCATTTCTGGAGGACAGTCATTTGAAATATTATAGAAAAATGAACACATGCCACATACATTCTAAGGAAAATATACAGGCAAACATTGAGTTAAGGACCCGAGGCCTTTTTGGTGAATCAGAAGAAGGGATGGGGATATAAGTGACTGGCTGGCATGAAGGGGTAAGAAATCAGCTTCAATTACCATCCTATTGTATCTTTGATACATTTTGATTAAAGACGATAGGCTTGTGTTTGTTGCTGTTGTTAGTTTTAACAGAGTCTATCCATGGAAATGGATATAAGTTTCTCTATGCAAATAAGGATGCCATATATGAATACATCATTCATTTAATGTCGAAACAATAGGGCATTGGTTTCCGAATGCATCTGTGCATTTGAATCACCTGGACAATATTCCAAAATTAAAGATTTTTGGATACCAACCTCAGAGATTTGCATTTAGTGGATCTAGGGTGGAGCTCAGAAATGTGTAGTATTTTTTTCTTTCTTTTTTTTTTCTTTTTCTTTTTCTCTTTTCTTTTCTTTTTTTTTTTTTTTGAGGTAGGGTCTTGCTCTGTTACCCAGGGTGGAGTGCAGTGGTGCAATCTCAGCTCACTGCAAACTCAACCTTCCAGGCTCAGGTGATCCTCCCACCTCAGCCTCCCCAGTACCTGGGACTATAGGCACGTACCACCACACCTGGCCAATTTTTATTTTTTAATTTTTTGTAGAGACAAAGTCTCACCATGTTGCTCAGGCTAGTCTTGAAATTTTGGGCTCAAGCCATCCTCCTACCTTGGCCTCCCAAAGTGATGGGATTACAGGCGTGAGCCACCATGCCTGGCAGGAATATGTATTTTGAGAAGGTTCCTTGGGTGATTTTGATGTGCACTCAGGCTTGGGAACCATTGCTTCACAACAGACAACAATCTACCCTTGGGCTGAATTAATTTAGCTCCTAGTAGGCTGTCAAAACTCCGACCAATAAAATTTTTCCATATGTGGTGTGGAGTCTTATCACAATTGCCACTGATGAGACACAAAGCCTGTTTGAAGGTTAAACCTTTCCCTTCTCACTGGTTACATCAGAAAGCACCCTGGGAGAGGTCCTGTGGGGGTTTGAGGAGCGGCTGCATTCGTTTACCACAGCTGTGAGCACGAAGAGCGGCGTATAGGCACTGAAGGCAGCTGCCAGCTTGCAGGCTTCTGCAGCGGACAGCAAATGGTGGTCAAACTCCTTCAGCAGGCTCTGTGAGAAAACAGGAGGCTAAGTGGAATGGTGATAATTAATTATCGATGAGCAAAAAACAGGCTATGAAATGGTTTTGCTTTTCTTTCATGATTTCAAGGGACTCCTCACCGCAACCCGTTCAGAACAGTGTAAAGAAAGAGTAAGTGGGTCTAAAGACCACAAGGTGTTGACTTTCCTTTTTCCCAGCAGACACACACCTGTGCAAAATAATTTGGGTGAGCTTCTTTGGAGGACGGTGGCAGTTCTTTGTTCAAAGGAACTGCACATTTTGAAGCCAGATTAATTGATTTCTGCACGCTCTTGGCAAAGAGCCCTTTAATTGATGATTTCACAGCAATTAGAATTCATTTATTAATTCTGTAAATACGTATAGAGTACCACCACATTCCAGGGCCTGTTCTAGACACAGGGGAAACAGCAGACAGTGAGCCCTCAAGGAGCTTACTTTCTGTTGTGGGGGAGGGACCAGTCAATATACAAAACAAGTAAAGTGCATAGTATTTGAGATTATGACAAGTGTTCTGGAGAGACAATAAATGGAGAAGGGGTTAGGGAGGCCCAGGATGGGAAGGAAGTTTGCAATTTTAAACGGTCATCAGGGATAACTTCAGTGAACAAGGGACATGATCCTCCTGTTTTGGTCAAACAGAAAAAGCAACATCTTAGATTCAGATTACCATCAGCAAGCTGTATGTGTTCTTTTGCTACACTAATTAGTATTGAGCATGGTTACTGTTGTGATTTAATGGTATCTTTAATAATGGGGTCTTGAATAAAAATGGCAATATAGACGATAATAAAAACTCCATTTAAGCACAGTGTGAAGAGCAGCAGAACATCCTTGTCACTTCTCTGGGCTGGTCAGAGATCTGGGCTCAGCTCCCAGTTCTCTCTCTTACTGGTTGTGTAAACTGCAGAGGTTAGTTAGTTTCTCTGCACTGCATTTTATTTTTCTCTAAAATGGAATGATACACTTTGCTCTACCCTCCTCATAGGGTTTTATTGGATATATATATACTTTCTTGAGTTGTAAAGTGATATATAAAAATTAGCAGTCATTATTATCAAGGACGAGAGCCTGGAACAAGGGACTGATGCTCTGATTTGAACAGATGGTGATTACAAAGTTTTAAAATTATTACCCCTTTATCATCAAGATGGCCCAAGTTTGGAAACTGCATTTTGTTATACTTTGAAAGGAAAGAAGTGAGGCTCAAAATCATTTTGTTGATATTCATTCATTCATTCACCAGTAACTTTCTGAGCACTCTCTGAGTGTCTGTTACAGTGCTAGGCGCTGGGATAATAAAGCCAAATAGGACCCCACAAGACTCCTCCCCAGGATTCCTCCCATTTGTCTAGGAGGCGCAGCACTGAGCTCCCTGCCTCCCAATCTCCTGAGAAAGACAGCCACTAACCAACCACCAAGGACACGATTGACAATTTTACAGGTGATGCCACTCAGTGTTATGATAATTACCAAATTAATTTGTGGATTGTTTTTAAACTTTTCATAATCGTTCTTGCTCATGGAAACAAAGATGTCTGCCAGTATACCTAGCGACGTGGAGAGGCCCTGTAAGAAAAACACAAAGAAGTCACAGATCGGGAATTCACAGTGGATTACTGCTCTCATCCATGGCCTAAAGGCTATGATTATTCCTCCATATGAACTATTTGCCTATTAATATTTTATTACTATGACATTGGAGATACTATTTTTAAAAATCAATTTTTAAAAATACTATTTTTAAAAATACTATTTTTAAAAATACATGTTTTATATCAAACATGTATATAATAATTATACATGTTTATGGGATACAATGTGACATTTTGACATATATATACATTGTGTAATAATTAATACCCTGACTTGGAGATATTTTTAAATTGGCTGCCACAGAGCTTGAAGGATCAACACATCCTAGGGCACATGGGCCTAATGTAAACACAGCTACTTCTCAGTTGGGTTTCACTGGATGATCAATACTAACTTGTCCCTACTGCTAGGCCTGAATAACTGGCCCAAGGAAGAGCTCATATCAGTCTGTATTGTAAAAGAATCGTAGACAGTAATTGCTTACACAGCTCAGGGAAATGTAATAACCAGATGTTTCAGATAATGAGACTATTCCCACAGAATTCCAGAAAATGAAAATGTCAAGTAGGAAGGCAGATGACCTTCCTCAATTTCTTGAATAAAGGTGCTATATAAACAGTTGAAGTCTTCGCCCACTCAACTCAAGAAAACTGATTTTACATATAAGCAACTTGGTCATCTCAACTTTGCTATGCAATCAAGTAAAGAGTAAATATATAACAAAACAGATAAATGAATGGACCAGTAGAGATAAATATATAAATGGACAGTTACAAATGATTATAAGAACACCATCTATGCACCAAGAGTCTAGCTGTGAGTGAGGATGAAGCAAGACACATAAGGAAGCTACTAACTGTACCTGGCCCTATGCTTGTGAAAAATAAATAAAAATAGGACAGATGAAATTGATATATGAGAAATGGACTTCTGTCATGAAGAGATAATCATCCAAAGACAAATACAGGAAAGGAGAAAAAGAAGCACTAGACAAACCACCTTTTTATCCGGCTGAGGAAGTGCCAAATATCCTACAATGGAGGCCCATATTAACTCTGCTGCTTCGTACCACATCCCTGAAAAAAAAAAGAGGGGCGGGGAGAGGGACAGGGGAGGAACAGCTAGTATCTGTGCTCTTGTATAGAGAAAACCTTTGAAAACAAATACAGAACCAAGACTCATTAGATTCTGTTAGGAAAACTTAGGCTTAGATTAGATTGACACAGCAATGTTTTTCCAGTTGTAATATAGACAATTTTTCCATTTCACTGGGAAACAGAATTATTATATATTTGTATATATAATATGTGTAATATATGTAGTTATCTCAGTTTTTTACAAAAATAATAATTGCCACCTCCTGTTAAAATTTCTCAAACCATTATTTTGCATTCTAAAGTATATTAGCATTCTATAAACTTGAAAAATTCATGAATACCTTAAGGAATGAACGAAAACAGTGTCACGGTGGGTATAGTATAAGGTGTCACCATATCACATGGAGTCCTGCTGAACTGAGTCAGATGCTAGAAATAACACTGGGAACCCTACAGTTAACATTACAATATACAACCGTGAACCTCTCTAACAAAACTCACTAGAAAAAAACACATTTTATTAATATTTGTGACACTCCTAGGATCTTAAATGCCATTCTCTTTTCGATGAGGAAACTAAGGCAAGTGGAAATTAACAATTTTAGCCTGATAAAAGAAGAAAATTCCACAGTGAAACCATGCAGCCAGGCTTTGTAAATGAGCCTTGAGAAATGCAAGTTTTACATGATTGTACCCAGCTTTTGCAGAATCTGCCCTCTGATCTGTATACAGACCGACTGCACCAGGACCTTGTCACTTTCATTTCTGTACAGCCAGGTACCTAAAAGAAAAGATGAAAATTCCCTTGAATTATCAGAGATATAGCCTTGCAAATTAAAACTATTTTCACAGAAGTCTTCATGAGCACATGTGACATCATTTTGAGAAACAATCTCGTCTCTACATTTAGAATCAGGTCCAAACTTCTTGCTGTAGTCTAAGGCTCTGCAGGAACTGACTCCTGTCTGGTCTCCAGTTCCCCTACTTACTCTCTGTCCACTCTACTTTATTTTGCCTCCTTGTTATAGGGCTGGCCTCTTGCTTCATGGCAGCTGCACTTACCACTAGCCCTGCTTGGGATTCTCTTTCCTCTGGCTTCTTAAGAAACCAGATCCTTCTCCTTCAGGTCTCAGCCTCAGTGCTTTTCCTCAAAGGCCTCCACAGAGTAGTATTTCTACACTGTTACCCCCACTGTCTTATGGTTGCTTTGCGGAGCGTGGGGTGGATCCCATCTGAGGAAAATTTGTTTGGATGTCAAAACTGATGACTGCACACATGTACCAAGAGGGTATGAGAAGATTTATTGCTCACATAATGAGACTTTCTAGGGTAAGTAAGGCTAGCACCTAAGCTGCTCCTTTGATTCAGGCAGGGAGTGGTGAGCGGCTTTGCTTTTCACTGTGATTGGGGTGTGGGGCCGGGTAAAGGTTCCTGTAAGCTGGGTTTGGGTGTGTGGATGAAAGGGCTTTTTGTTGTTTGTTTGTTTGTTTTAATCGGACTGTCCAGTGTGAGGCAAAAGTAAAAAAGGCTGTGGCCTGAAAACTGTCAGTGGTCGGTCAAACATCAAAAATAGAGGCAGACTCTTTACTACCCCCTCACCATTCTCTGTCACATCAGATAATATTTATTTTCTTCCTAGCTTTGAATCCTTGTGTGCGTGCGTGTGTGTGTGCACACACACATGATGACAAGAGTGTATACTGTAGTTTAGTGATGGTGGCCACAAGTGAGGGGTGTGTGGTTAATATTTGGATTCCAAACTGTCTCCCCACTAGAAATGTCCACAAGTTTCAGGCAGTTTGAGACCTCACATCCAAGCATGCTGAGTTTAAAAGTCCAATGGAAACTGTGCTCAACTTATTGGTAAACTTGCTAACTTAAATGCCCAGAAATTCAGACAAGATATCTGAAGCCTTAAGTTATTTGTTACCTAACTATTAGGTCTTGCCTCCTTTCATGGATAATTAAATATTGAAAGAAAATCCATTTTGAAACAAGTTTTTATTAAAGTTCTTATGTACCAAAAATCAAATCCATTTTCTGAACCATTTAAATTGATAAAGCCGAAGCAGACTCTTCTGAACTTAGAGGCTTTTATTTCCAATCACAATTTTGTTTAAAAGCTGCTGTTGAACCTTTCTAAGGCCCACTGAGTTATCTGCCTTGACAGTGATTGTTCATTAGATAGCATACTCTGTAAGGAAGCAGGCCAATAGTAGGTTCCTTGTCTTTGTTGTTTTTTTTTTTAACTTAGAGAAAACAGAGACACAGAGATGTAAGCTGCTTGATCAAAGCTTCTTCATTCATCAGTGGCAGAGCCAGCCCCAGATAGCTCTGGAAACATCTAAGGTATAGTAACTATTAAGTCACTAAGTTGTTATTAAATGAGTGCTCTGTTCGGGGCTGAGGTAAAAGTCATTGTGAAGATATGAAAGTACTCACCCGTTGCTCCATTGTTGCTTATTAGACTGCTCAGAATATACTCTGCTTTTAAAAGTTTTCCTGAAAAGCAGCAACCAAATGCCACACAATTAGCTTTGAACATGCACTTAACAATTACAAGTTGTTCATGTTCTAAGACTGATATATTGCAGCAGGAACTGTAACCTCCTTTGGAAGCATTCCATTTTATAATTTAAAATCAACAATGACATCATCTATAAAACTGAAAAGAAAGATGAAGTTTTCCTAAGTTGGTAAGGTGGGAAGTTGGACAGTATCTGAAATGAAAATTAGATTCATATGTATGTGATAATTCATTCACATAGAGCAGGGTTTGAGGAGTAGAGGCAAACTTTTCTAACAGGCTGTGCCGCCTCCCTGTGAAAACTATACTTCAGGAAGTGGAATAGAGTTGCCCGTGGACAGGAACTAGTTATGGAATTATCTGGCAGGAATTTGGGGGTGGGGAGTGAGGAGATTCTTTCTCAAGTTTTTACTTATTTTTGTTACTACCACATAGGAAGGGCCTATTCTATGGACACCTGTTGGAAACACAATTATTTATCCTTTTAACCAAACATTCCTTTCTCTAGGTTCCTCTAAGCCCTACATGATCTGGCTTTCATGACTTCTTTGACCTCACCTCTAACTACTTATTCCTTCCTTCTTGGCCCTCTACTTCAGTCACAGTGGCCTCCTTATCATCCCTTGGGTAGACCAGGCTCATTACCACATCAGAGTTTTTGTATTTACAATTATTTCAGTGTGTAACGCTTTCATCCCAAATATCTGCAAGGCTTCCTCTCTTCTTCTTCAGGTCTTTGCTCAAATGTCACTGTCTCTGAAGGCCTCCCCTGACCATCTTATTTTAAATTACATACGTAGACATACACTCTGGCTGTGGTAGGTTGTATTTCCAAAAAAGACCACACCAGTATATTCCATTCTTCACGCTCGTTTGCAATGATGACCTGGCCATTTTTCCATCAAAAAGTGGAATCTAGAGTTTATTTCCCTTCACCTTGAACACAACTGGCCCTGTGACCTGTTTTGACAAATGGAATGTGGCAGAAGTCTGGGCGTTAAGGGATCTTTAAATTCTGCCTTCCCTTCTTGGAACTTAGCCCAATGCTCTGAGGAAGCTGAGGCCGCCACATGGAGAGGCCCATGCAGAGGACAGCTGAGGCCCTCCCCCAAGGCCTCTGCTTGGCTCTTAGCTGGCAGCCAGTACCAAATGCCTACTGTGTGGATGAAACCATTCCAGACCTTCTAGCTATCCCAGCTTCCAGCTGACAGTACTTATAATAATCACCCAAACTACAAATTATGAGACTGAATGAATTATTACTGTTTTAAGCCACTATGTCATGGAGTGGCTTTTAACATAGCAATGGAAAAATCATGCACTTAAAAGTGGAGTACTACTATAACAAAAACTTTGGAGACTTGAAGGGTGTTGCAGAGACAAAAGGCAGTGAAGAAATTGTTCCTGGAAGTTTGAGAAAGGGAACAGACATTATACGGTGTTGTAAAGTTTGGCAACATGGTCTCCAGGAGTAATGTGGAATGTAGCAAAATGTAACCAGTGGACTCGGTGTCTAGCTAGGGAGATACCCAGGAAGGATATTGAAAGTGCCAAAATGTGTATCTTTTAGTTACCCAAGATAAAGTACAGGAAGAAAGCAATAACCTAAAGAAGAAACTACAGTAGTCCCCTCTGTCCCCAGTTTCCCTTTCTGCAGTTTCAGTTACCAGCAGTCAACCACAGTCCAAAAATATTAAATGGAAAATTCCAGGAATAAACAATTCATAAGTTTTAAATTGCGTGCCGTTCTGAGTAGCGTGATGAAATCTCATCCTGCCTGGGACATGAACCATTCCTTTGTCCAGCGGATCCATGCTATCTACGATGATCACCCATTAGTCACTTAGCAGACCTCTCCATGATCAGATCAACTGTCTGTCAGGTAATGCAGTGCTTGTGTTCAAGTCACCCGTATTTTACTTAACAATGGCCGCAAAGGACAGGAGTAGTGATGCTGGCAATTTGGATGTGCCAAAGAGAAGCTGTAAAGTGCTTCCTTTAAGTGAGAAGGTGAAAATTCTCAACTTAATAAAGAAGGAAAAAATTCATATGCCAAAGTTGCTAAGGTCTATGGTAAGGATGCATCCTCTATCCAAAAATGGTGAAGAAGGAAAAAGAGATTTGTGCTAGTTTTGCTGTCACATCTCCAACTGTGAAAGTATGGCTACCGTGCGTGATAGATGCTTAGTTAAGATGGAAAAGGCATTAAATCGGTGGGTAGAAGACATAAACAGAAATGTGTCTTGATTAATGGCAATCAGGCTTGGGCATCTACTGGGGTCTTGGAACGTATCCCCCATGAATAAGGGGGGACTACTGTATTCCATTTTTAAGCAAGATTTAGGGAAAATAAAGACGGCCCAGAATAGTTTTTCCAGACAGCAAGACATTCTGAAGATAAATTTAAAATATTAAAACCTGGGGCAAAGGTCAAATTCAGGGCACTGGCAGTAAAATGTGACCTTAGGGTCAAGATCAAACCAAGGGCGTGGCTGTAAAACACTTTGTTAAGACCTCAGACCCTCTGACCAAGCGAAAGAGCTTCTAAGAATCTTAAGGGTGCTGTCCTGTATCCCTTTGGTTTGTAGCCCAAAGTAGCATTCAAAGATAAATGTAGGCATTTTTTTTCTAATTTAGTATGTTAAAAAGCTAGAAAGTATTTAAAGGAATTATATCAGCTTGATTTAAGAAGGGCAGAGATAGTTCAAAATGAAAAGAGACATCTGGGAGTCAAACTTTCTATAGGCATGGAGTACGCTGAGATGTTTTCATAAAAAATATTTTATGGGCCGGGCACGGTGGCTCATGCCTGTAATCCCAGCATTTGGGAGACTGAGGTGGGTGGATCACCTGAGGTCAGGAGTTCGAGACCAGCCTGACCAATATGGTGAAACCCCGTCTCTACTAAAAATACAAAAAGTAGCCAGGCATGGTGGCGTGCACCTGTAGTCTCAGCTACTCGGGAGGCTGAGACAGGAGAATTGCTTGAACCCAGGAGTTGTAGGTTGCAGTGAGCTGAGATCACACCATTGCACTCCAGCCTGCGTGACAGAGTCTCTCTCTCTCTCTCTCTCTCTTTCTCTCTATGTATGTATGAGTATATACATGCATTTTATAGACAAGGAAGGATGATTCAGAGGACAAATCCAAAAGCTGAGGCGAACCATTCTCAAAGAGAAAAAGTGAGCCCTAATCAAGAAATAATTCTTGTCCTCACATCAGGAAGACTTGGGATATATGCCTGGCTAGATTTTAGATTAATATGAACCGTGACTGCTGAGTGACTCTCATTTCCCCCGCTTTTGCACAGAAGCGCCTATTGAAATTATCTTTTCCTATATCCCCATTGCATGCCAGTTGTGTTGGAAGGTAGGTAACTTGTCTTTTAGTTCACAAGTCTCTGTGTCCCCAGAAGAAGTACCTGAGAAGACTTGTTTGTCCCTAAACCTACTTCAGAGGATAAGATCTTAAGCTTTGAACCTGAACCCTTAATGGTACGAGGCTCTGAGGGAGGAATGAGTGTATTTTGCACATGAGAGGGATGTGTATTGTTGTAGCCAGAACATGAACTGTGATTAAATTGTTTTAGGCCACTAACTTTGGGGAGTGGCTTGTTGCAAAGCAAATGATCACCAAAACACTGCCACTGTTTCTCACCTCTGCTTTATTTTTCTTTGTCATTTATTGCCATAAGACACATTGTATATTTTAATTATTTCCTCATTGCCTGGGTCTCCCCATTAGAGTGTGAACTCTGAGACAGCAGGAGGTTTTGCCTGTTTTGTTCACTGCCCTGTCCCATGTACCTCTAACAATGCTTGGAACAGGGCAAATATTCAGTAGCTATTTGTCATTCATCCAAATACATGTTTGAATTGTGCCAGGGACTGTGCTAAGAGCTGGAGATGGAATGATGAACAAGACAGAGCCCCTGTCTTCAAGGTAATAATAGTAATAATAATAACAATAAGAGCTACCGTTTATTACGTGTTTACTATGTGACGGACATTGTTCTAAATTATATCTAAGCACTCTATTGTCTTCATTTCACAAATAAAGAAATGGGCCTTACAGAGGATAAGTATCATTACCAAAAGATATGAACCAAGGCAGCCTGCCATGAAAGTCCAAACTCACCAGTGCTAAACTGCTTTCCAGAGATACCACTATCTCAGATTAGTTGTCCAACATGATATTTTTGTAGGGGACCATTTTCAGCCATGCAGGATACAATTTTCTTTCCTCACATTCTCATCAGAGGATGGAACATATAGCATGAAATAATATCTGCAGTTTTTAGAGTTTCTCATCTTGTCTCCTTCCCTTGTCAATTTTTAAAGTTACTGTCCTCCCTCCCTTTCTCTCTACCTCTTTCCTTTCATCCTTCCTTTCCTCCTTCTTTCCCTTCTGCCTTTCTTCCTCTTTTCTTCCCTCCCTCCCTTCTAATTTCCTCTCTGTTTTAAACCTCATTGCTGTGCTATTTTTAATTTTTTTATAGTTCTATCTTCTCCCCCAACTTGAACCACTTGATAATGAACCATATCTTGATCATCTTTATAACTATCCTAAAGGCCTAATGCAATTGTTGGCACATAGCAGGCTTTCCACATATATTTGTCCAAAAAAAGAAAAACAGAGAAACAGAGAATAAAAGAAAATTAGTATCGAAATCATGGCTTACAGTCGAATTAAATTTATTCATACCAATATATTTAAAATGACAGATATCAAATGAAATACCTACACGAATAAATTTTATCAAAGCAATCTCTATTCTTAAAAGATATATTTCTAATTAGGTTTTGTTGCTAACTAAGAATGGGCATTTAAAAAATATTGACTTTGTATTCACCAACCTTGCTGAATTTCTTAATTCTAACAATCTGTGGATTTCTTGGAGTATTCTATGTGTTCAGCCATATTGTCTACAAATCATACTGTTTTTGTTTATTCATTTCTAGCCTTTATACCTTTTATTTCCTTTCATTTTCTTATTGCCTTGAGAGGACTTCCAGGGAAGTATCAAATAGAAGCAGTAATGAGGTACTTTTTTTCTTGACATGACTTAAAAAGGAATTCTTATAATTTTTCATCATTGGTTTTGCTGGAGGCTTTCAGTTACTTCCTTTTATCAGTTTAAGAAAGTTCCCTCCTATGCAGGGAGTAACTTTTTCAGCTCCAACTTATCATCTTTCAGTTCCAATCCACCCTTCAATACCTGCTTTGTGATCATGGGGATGGATCTGGTAAACATTTCTCCTTTGTCAGCTGGCAAGATGGTAAGCCTTGTCATCGTGGGGTGTGGAAGGACGCTGCATGGGAAGGGTGCTTCTCATCCTGACTTGGTGTGCTCCTCTGGCCAGGCCACTGCGGGTACCACTTCCTAAATGCCTGACTCCTACAACACAGGCTTTCATAGCTTTCCCTGTGCCTGACTCCTGCAACATAGGTGACTTCTGTAGCATCTGTCTCCTCATTGTGCAGAGGGTCAGCCGAACCCGGCAGTCAGTCCTCTCAGCTGACTTTACAGTGGAGTGCTGTCAGTTAGGCTCCTCTGGTGACCAGTTTCCCCTGGCACTCTGTAAAGGCAGCTTTGTGGTGAGTTCTAAGACACAGCGCCTCCCCGTGGATGGCTTCCCCCAACATTCAGAAGGTGGGTTTCCAGCGAGTTTGGCCAGCATGGAACCTTGGTGACTTCTCTGCCACGCGGCGAGCCATGTCTGTGCCTTCTCCAAAAAGGTCTTGATCTCAGCCGTGGTGTGCGTAGGTATGAGGGCCAGGAGCTCTTTTTTAGGTGTTCTATCTGAGTCCAGGGAATAGTGGCTGTACCTTAAAAATGCTATCCTGCACGCTTTAGAGTTCTTCTTTAGAGTTCTCTTTACTTTTCACTAGCCAAGCCCTCATTACTCTAATCCCCTGAAATAGTAATTCTTTGTATTGAACTTTCCTGTTCAAATTACTGTGTGGTTTCTGTCACCTGATTACATTTCTATCCCTAGTTTGCATTTTTAACCTAAGTCGGTTGAAAATTTTGTTAACTTTAAAAAATCTATTTAGGTGAACACATACTTTTTCTTCTTTATTCTGTGCATGTGGTGCACTAAATGAATAGATTTAAAAATACTTAACTATCAGCCAGGCACGGTGACTCATGCCTATAATCCCAGGACTTTGGGAAGCTGAGGCAGGAGGATCGCTTGAGCCCAGGAATTCAAGACCAGTCTGGGCAACGTAGAGAGACCTCGACTCTACAGAAAATAAACAAGTTAGCTGGGCATGGTGGCACATGCCTGTAGTCCCAGCTACTTGGAAGGCTAAAGTGGGAGGATTGCTTGGCCTGGAAGGTTGAGGCTGCAGTGACCCATGATTGCACCACTGTACTCTAGCCTGGGTAACAGAGTGAGATCGTGTCCCCCAAAAAATAAAAACAAAAATAAAACCCACTATCCTTATGTATCTGGAATAAACCTTCCTTGATTGTAATGCATTATTAATTTAATACAATGTTGGTCAATTTGGTAATATTTCAAGATTTTTTGCACCTTATTAATTATATAAGTGATATTGCCATATAATTTCCTTTTATTTTAATCTTATATGGCTAAATGTATTTACCACATTCTTTAGTCATCATCTTTTTTTACTCTCCACTTCTTCATTCTAAGTTCAATTTTCTTCTTAGAAAAATGCATCCTTTAGTGTGTATGTGAGTGTGTGTGTGAATGAGAGAGCTGTCTTGAGAATAATTTATTTTTAGCCAATCAGGTCTGAAAATGTCTATTTTATCCTCACTTTTGAATGACAATTTTGCTAGGTATAAAATCCGAGGTCAAAACCTATGTCCTCTCAATTTTTTGGAGATTCTCTTGCTTTCTGGACTCTTATTATTGATAAGATACTTTTTGTTAGTCTAAATATACTTCCTATATTAATCTGTCTTTTCTGTCTGTTTCTTTAAGACTTTCTTATTGTATGATTTTCTATAGTTTACCACACTAGGTATGGTCTTGAATTTATTTAAAAAGTTTTTTTTTTTTTTTTTTGAGACAGGGTCTTGCTCTGTCACTCAGGCTGGAGTGCAGTGGTGTAATCATGGCTCACTGCAGCCTCAATCTCCTGGTCTCAAGAGATCCTCCCACCGTAGCCTCTGGAGTAGCTGAGACTACAGCTACATGTCACCACACCTGGTTGATTTTGTTTATTTTTTGTAGAGATGAGATCATCCTGTGTTGCCCAGGCTGGTCTTGAACTCTTGGGCTCATGCGATCCCTCCCACCTTGGCCTCCTAAAGTCCTGGGATTACAGGTGTGAGTCACCATGCCTGGCCTAAAACTTTTTTGCCCAAGGCTAGATATACTCCTTCAGTGTAAAGACATAATTTTCTCCAATTCTGAGTCTAGTTAGTCCCGCTAGAAGTCTTCCTATGCTTCTGTGTTTTTTTAAATCTCTTTGAGTTTTTTAAACTTCCCTATTTTCATCTACTTAGCTCTCTGTGCTTCATTTTCAACATTTTTTTTAAATACAGTTTCCAGTTCCATAATTTTCTCCCCCACTGTTAATGGTATTGCAGGCGTACATTTCCGGTAGGTCAGTTATGGGGTTGGAACATCTGAGAAACTGGCTGTAGAAAATGTACCTTGATTTTAAGGTTGTTAGTGGTCATTAGTCCCAGGTGGGCAGCCAGGCACGTGGTTAGAATCTTTAGATGATCCCTTGCTAGTCAAGCAAGGTTCACAGAACAGCAGCATCTCAGGCCGTACCAGAGATCTACTGAATCGGAATCTGCATTTTAATAAGATCTTTAGGGGATTCAGAGCACACTGAAGTTTGGGGAGCACTACTATTTGTGTCTTTTTGTTGCTAGCCTGAATCGAGGAGATTAAGTGAAACACTGAGAGTGAGCATTTAGAAATTTTTATTATGATTTGCCAAAATAATTGTATAACTCTTGAAGCTGATGATAATAAATACATTAAGCTTGCATTTTTGTATCTTTGTTTTTTACTTCATTTTTCTAAGGATTTATTTTATCTCATTCACCCCATTGAAGCAGTCTGGTTGGCAGTTGGGCACCCTTACTAGCAGGTGAAATGCCAAAAGCTTATCTCACCAACCGGGAGGGTGTTCTGTGCTCTTCAGCCATGGTTTTGTAGTTGAATTCTTGTATCCTGTCTATATAAAAACAAACTTGCATGCGCTGCCTGTTCTGTGGGGAATTCCCCATCAATTACTATTACTTTCTCTTTTTTTTTCTTTTTTGTTTTCTTTCTTTCTTTTTTTTTTTGAGACAGAGTCTCACTGTAACCCAGGCTGGAGTGCAATGGCATGATCTCAGCTCACTGCAACCTCTGCCTTCTGGGTTCAAGCAATTCTCCCGCCTCAGCCTCCCAAGTAGCTGGGATTTCGTGCGCCTGCCACCACACCAGGCTAATTTTTTGTATTTTTAATAGAGATGGGGTTTCACCATGTTAGCCAGGCTGGTCTCGAACTCCTGACTTCAGGTAATCCACCCGCCTTGGCCTCCCAAAATGCTGGGTTTACAGGCGTGAGCCGCTGCCCAGCCTGTTGCTTATAATTTTAATGTAAGGTCATCTTTAGCCAAGAATATTTTCCTGTGAGATTCCCATGGCCCTGGGTGTGGATACTTCTCTAGAGTATAGTTTTGCATTTGATCTCCTGGGGCCCAGAAATTTCAGTCCTGAACAATTTTTTTTTCTTAATTATTTGATGGCAGGTTTCCTGCTTTGTGGGCAGAGTAAATTCAGACTCCACACTCAAATTCGGCACAGAGTTGAGACCTTTATTTTAGATGAGAGTTTTTTTCCCCTCCATCCCAGAGCTTGGGCGGAGAGCAAGCGTCCTTGTAACTTCTCTGGGCAGGCTGGTGGGATTGTTCAGTCTCCTTTTGTAGCCTGTGCAAACCTTTAAGAATTCCAGCTTGATGCAAATATTTTACTTCTCACATGGGCACAAGGCAATTGTCTCTCATCTCTGCCCAGGGATTAAAATGACAGCCCCTTCCCTTGAGGACTTTGCTCAAGTGTAAGTTCCTTTGGCTATGTGTCGTAAGCAGTAGTCTATTGCTGTGATTTTAAATACCTTTTATGTTTCAGGTACCTACAAATCTTTAATTCACCATATTTATGTATGTGTAATGGGAGAAGATTCTGCACGTGCTCAGTCCTCCATGTTGATGGAATTGGAAATCTGAGCCTTTATCTGTAACTGTGGTTTGAAAGGTTTTGTCTCCCAATTTCAGGCAAGAGTGAGGTGAGCAGGCCTTGTGAGTCGTCTCTCTTTTTTTTTTTTTGAGACGAAGTCTTGATCTTGTGCCCCAGGCTGGAGTACAATGGTGTGATCTCACCTCACTGCAACTTCCACCTCCGGAGTTCAAGTGATTCTCCTGCCTCAGCCTCCTAAGTAGCTGGGATTACAGGCGGCTGCCACCACGCCTGGCTAATTTTTGTAGTTTTCAGTAGAGATGGGGTTTCATCATGTTGTCCAGGCTGGTCTCGAACTCCTGACTTCAGGTGATCCACCCGCTTCGGCCTCCCAAAGTGCTGGGATTACAGGCATGAGCCATAGTGCCTGGCCTTGTGGGTCTTCTCTTGCTTCTGACATCCCACTACATTGAGTGTTTGGCTGGATGGGATCCTGTGGTGGATACCAGGAAGCGCTGGATCAGATGGATAATAGCAAGACTGCTGTCCTCTCATATTACCTTTGTTTTTCTTCCTTACCTCTTACAATATTATATAATCTCTTTCACTTCTCCACCCCACGATTCCTAAGTGCTGGGCCTGAGAGCCTCCTTTCAGCAAATCTTCTTCTGTTACCCCTAAGCCATCCCTGCTCTCAGTCCCAGTCCTTCTCTCTCTCTGAGACACCCAGTGTAGGTGGAGGCTCCAGATGTTTTGGGGTAGACGTTTACACAAGAAGACTTAACTCTGAGGTTATATTTGTCTTTCTGTGGCACTTTTAATAGTGTCTTTGAGGAAAAGACAATCCCAACCATTAGGGAAAAAGATCCAGGACCTTTATGTTAGACACAGGATAATGTGAGCAGAGGAGCATCCTATTCATCATGATCATCCCAAAGCTTTCTCATTATCAGGAGAAAACTGCTATACCACCTGGTTAGAATCTTGAGAGAAATAATTTAAAAAACCCTCCCAAAACCAATTTAAAAAAAGGAAACCGGGTCAGGCATGGCAGCTTGCACCTGTAATCCCAGCATTCTGGGAGGCCGAGGTGGGTGGATCACCTGAGGTCAGGAGTTTGACACCAGCCTGGGCAACATGGCAAAACCCAGTCTTTACAAAAAATACAAAAATTAGCTGGGTGTGGTGGCGCATGCCTAAAGTCTCAGCTACTTAGGAGGCTGAGGGGGGAACATCACCTGAGCCCCAGAAGTCGAGGCTGCAGTGGGTTGTGATCAGGCCACTGGGCTCCAGTTTGGGCAACAGAGCGAGACTGTCTCAAAAACAAAACAAAAACAAAAATGGAAACCTGAAAGACCAGTTTGGACATGTAAAAGCAAAGCTGTCAACGTCCCTGTTTACCATTTGATCTCAATTTCCATGTCACACTATAGCAATGCTGTATGGCACAAAATATGCTACATTAACTCTGTTCCAAGCTCTTCTTGATGAGAACCAATATTAGAACCCTGTCTGTACCCTCCAGCCTTCACCACTCTGTTCCCCTCAGAGAATGCGCTGCTCAAACATCATTGCCATCTGACACCATCAGAAGGAACAACAGTTGTTAGGTTTCTTTCATATCCCACACATTATAAATTACATCAGGAACATTTTAAAGAAGAAATTTTTCCTAAGTTCAGCTCTGTCCCTGAACTTTACTTGAGATAAGTAAATAACAAGACCTGCACAATTTATGCACAGTTGCAAGAACTTGAGCGTAAATGAACTTGGGCTTTTGAAAAGGTAACCTCCACTAGCCCATTTCTCCCATGTCCTTTTGTCTCTGTCCCTCTCTGCATTCAGCAATTGTCCTATTTAGCATAGTTAGTACAGTTCCTTTTCAAAGGAAATGAAGTAAAGAGATTTTAACCTCTTAAAGACCAGAGTTATTAAAATAATAGCAACAGCTAAAACCAATCAGAAAATGAACCAGTCCCATTTCTGGGAGGGGTAACTTGCCTTCTCTTTTCATCCTTTACTTTTTCAGTCTTGGAAACAGGAATAACAGGCTACACGTTTCTAAATCTAATGGCTATCAGCAATTTAAATAATTCAAGAATTCTATGGAAGTGGACTTTGCAGTAACGCATAGCAGGCCCCCCTCCCCCCAGCCCTCTTCCACACCACATCTTAAGTTAGAATGTCAGCCTCCTTTTTCATTTCATTCAAAGTGACAGGAAAAAAAAAGATACTTTAAGACCTAATCAGGTACTGTACCGGTGTTCTGAATGATGAAAAAAAACCCTCAAATTACTTCAGTGGGTTTGTCAGCTCTATTGTCAGCTTAGTCAAGTGGTCCTACAGAAAGGAGACAGGAGAGCGAAGAGAAAATAGTAGAATTCTAATCTGCTTTTTAAAGACTCTTGGTCAGAAGTATAGCAATTCAGATACCCCTGTTTGAAAGCAGCAGGACAGATTTGTTAGAAGACAAAAGCTCCAATTAGTATTTTCCACACCCTTTCACAATTTTCTCTACTGCTTTTGGCTCTGAAACCCTTTATGCCAGGGCCTTTGTGCTGGCAAAGAGGCGGGTGGAAGGGCACAGGGGCGGGGGAGGGGAGCCCCGGGCTCGGAAAGATGGCACGCAGGGCCCGGGTGCTCCGGGTGTCCCACAGAGGTCAAGTAGCTCGGGAGGGAAGGGGACCAGAAGACACTGAGGACGCGGGGGCGGCCAGCAGGAGGGAGCATACCTGAGTTCACGGAGATTCGGGCTTGGCGAATAACCACCTGCGGGGCAATTGGCGTGGCTGGCTGCAACTTGTGGAGACCTTTGGCGACCTGCAGAAGTTTTCCAGAGACGTCGAGCCCATACAGGAACCGGTCCACCAAGAACACAATAGCCGCCGCAGCCGCACAGTCCCGAGCGAGGATGGAGGCCCTCAGGGACGCCTGGAGGAACAGCGTGGAACATCGTGAGCCAGGCGGAAACGCTGGCAGGCTGAGGGCCAGGCTTAGCGTGGGAGGCATTTTCATTAATACAACAAAACCCACAGCTAGGAAGAGAAAAATACTTTGTTAGGCAGCTGAACCGAAAGAAAGAAAATAGAAAAGTCCAGTTCAATTGTGCAATAAAATAGTATTTCCTTCATTCAATTTCCCCCATTACATTTATAAAATTATAGAAGCGATAAATGCATACTTCCCGTTGTTAAAAACTCAAACAATACTAAAGCGCATAGGGTAAAAAGTAGGGCCGGGCATGGTGGCTCACGCCTCTAATCTCAGCATTTTGGGAGGCCGAGGCGTGTGGATCTCTTGAGGCCTGGATTTTGAGACCAGCCTGGCCAACATGGTGAAACCCCATCTCTACTAAAAATACAAAAATTAGCTGGGTGTGGTGGCATGCGCCTGTAGTCCCAGCTACTCGGGAGGCTGAGGCGGGAGAATCACTTGAACCCAGGAGGCGGAGGTTGCAGGGAGCCGAGATCCAGCCACTGTACTCCAGCCTGGGCGACAGAGCGAGACTCCGTCTCAACAACAACAACAACAAAACTATATAGGGTAAAAAGTAAAAGCGCCCCATAGTTTCCCCATCCCTTATCTTATTTCTTCTCCTCCTGCTTCAATTCTCCTTGACAATGGTTAGGGAGAGACGTTCCTTCCAGAACGCCTATCCTTTTATTTATATTTAGACATTAATTGATCGTTGTCTTGCTTTGCCTTCTCCTACCCTTCCTATCTCTTTCTCTCTCATACGTAAATGACGTCACACTAAACATATTGTTCTGCTGTTTTCTTCTTTCAATCATCATCATCTGGGAGAACTTCCACATTAGTTCATGACACTCTGCTTCATTTATTGCCTACATTTTAATTAGGAAGAAATACAGAATTTTAGATAACAGTCCATATTTGATTTATATCATCATGTTTAGTTAATGAATAAAATAAGAAAAAGAAGAAAACCGGCATGAAATGAAAGTGTAACATAAAGAGCGAGAAGTAGAAATAAATAATCAAATTTTTATGAAAAAACATCATCATCTTTTGCTCTGCTAGGGTGTTATACTAAAGACCTTTGATTTAGTGGTTACGTAGCTAGTAGCATAAATGAGTTTATCACCCAAATACTATTATCTTCCTATGCTAAACTAAATCATGCTGAGTGCTTTCTGGGCATGTTTATTCATGCATGAAGCCTAGAAAGCATTGTAAGTATTGCCCATTTTCCTACCACAATGTTGCTACACAAAGTACTGCTTTCATCACCACATAATCCTAAGTACTAACACTTACTGGGCAAAACCAGGTGCCAGGCACAGTGCTAGGTGATTTATATGCACTAATTCAATAAGTTCTCCTAGCAATCCTAAGAGGCACGTTCTATTATTATTCTCTTCTGTAAGATGGGAAACCTGAGATGCAGAGAGGTGAAGTGATATGCCAAGGTCACATGACTAAGAGCTGGGGTTTGAACACAGGAGGTCCAAATCCAGATCCTACATGCTCCCTTGTTGTCCTGACTCTATGTTAGGAAACCGGATGGAGCTGCTGGGAGTCTGGAGAGGCCCAGGTAGGGAGTTAACAGGGCAGAGTACCAGAAGAAGAGAGTTGCACAAAGCAAGTTCAGAGATCTGCAGAGGGTCCCCTTTGAGTCAATTATCTGATATTTACTATTATGTTAATAAATACCATATGCATAATTGGTTACAGGATATTTGTATTTACAGGCTTTCATCAATCAGGTAATGCCTGCCAAATACCAGCACAATAATCTTTCTTTTTTAAAACTGATGCTTACTTAACATGTTAAGATTTTTAAACTGCCAATGTGTTTATTAAGTATAAAATTTTTTACTCTATTTATCTTTTTGGTCTGAGTCTATCATTGCTGTCATTGTGATAGAATTGCCAACTGTTGGGGAGAATATCTCTTCTCTCCTCTCGATGTTTCCTTCCATGTGACGGAAGCTCAATGACCGTAGCGTCCTCGGCCTCTTTCTATCACTTTCCCCACTCTACTTCATGAGGGGTGGAGTGACTAATCTGACTGGTAAATTTTAGAAGAATAAAGTGGGCATGTATGACTTCTCTTCTTCCTTTTTTCTCTTGGGAACAAGCTGTCTAAAGGAAACGGCAATTTGTCGTTACTTCTCTATATCATAAGTCTTGTCTAGTAAGCCGCCCTACATGGAGTATTCTGCTTGACCCTGTAATTCCTGTGACTAAATGGGGACGTCTATATAATTTTGGGGTTCCACTAGCAGATTCCCTACGTCTAATACAAAGCTATATCTTCTAACTTACCCTGTATTAGAATTAAGGGGAATATTTCATCTCTTGTTTGCCTCTTTTGTCTTATTTCTCCATTTGCTCAGAATCCAGGAGAGGAAGAGAGGTACTATTGATCAGATCCTCCCAAAGACCCTGACATGAATAACTGCCTTTCTAAGGCACACCATAACCCTTTCTAGGGAAACTGCTGTGCCCACAGCCCCTGTCTTTGAGGTAGCTGTGTATTTTGCTACTTGGCCTTGACACCCTTTTTTCTCCACCCCACGACCAGATCAAGGCCACTGGATTGAGAGTAGCTACCTGATAACCTGACCCCTCATGATTCTGTGGCCAGGCTTTAAAAAACCAACGTATCAATCTGAACTAAAAAATATAGAAAGAATTTGCCTGTTGTTGAAGGATAGGAAGAAAGTAGAGTATAGCCAAGCCATGTTTATGGGCAACACAAGGGAAGATCCAAGAATGGCTCTGAAGGCAAGTCCATGTTTTCATGAGTGCCATTCTAGGAATTACATGTCTCATTTAGTATGCCACATGTATTTTCAAAATAATACACATCCCCTTTTATGTGTTTACTTGATTGAGCTTCTGTTCCTTCCAACCAGAAAAAGCCTAACTAAAATTGCCATGCTCAAAACTTCGACTGAGTTCGTCAAATAAACCATCAATCGGAAAAATGCAAGTTTCAAAATGAGAAAAAGTCTGTTGGCTGAGCGCAGTGGCTGAAGCCTGTAATCCCAGCACTTTGGGAGGCTGAGGTGGGTGGAACACTTGAGGTCAGAAGTTCAAGACCAGCCTGGCCAACATGGTGAAACCCCATCTCTACTAAAAATACAAAAATTAGCCAGGCATGGTAGCAAATGCCTGTGGTTCCAGCTACTCAGGAGGCTGAGGCAGGAGAATCACTTAAACCCAGGAGGAGGCAGAGGTTGTAGCGAGCCAAGATTGTGCCACTGCACTCTAGCCTGGGCAACAGAGCAAGACTCAGTCTCAAAAAAAAAAAAAAAGTCAGTCATTGGCATTCATAAAATGTAAATCAAAGATGGAAAAGCAAACTGATGGTTTTATATGTGGCCAGCTGTGTCTAATAAGGCCAGTCTCTCAGCAAGGCCAGTCCTTCCTGTGCTAAGGACACATAGATATAGTCCTTTGTTTTGTATCTTCAGCTACTGTCTTCAGTACTTGAAGTTTCTGCCACTGACAGCCTTCCTTCTACTTTTGCTTAGAAAGAACAACACTATTCCTGCCACCCTGCTTATGGCTATGGACCTTGGGGGGTACTCAGATAGCCTGTGAATGCCCTCTTTTTGATGTTACACTTAAGTGCATGCTTGATTTCTAGTTCTGCTCTCCATTTTTTTTTTTGTCTTTTTTGAGATGAAGCCTTGCTCTGTCACCCAAGCTGGAGTGCAGTGGTGTAATCTCTGCTCACTGCAACCTCTGCCTCTCGGATTCAAGCAATTCTCCTGCCTCAGCCTCCTGAGTAGCAGGGACTACAGGTGCACGCCACCACGCCCGGCTAATTTTTGTATTTTTTAGTAGAGACGGGGTTTCACTATGTTGGTCAGGCTAGTCTCAAACTCCTGACCTCGTAATCTGCCCACCTGAGCCTCCCAAAGTGCTGGATTACAGGCGTGAGCCACCGTGCCCAGCACTGCTCTCCATTCTTACTAGTGTCTCACTTCAGTTTTAGGGAAGCTGCAGTAACTACTCGGGCAGCAATGTTCAGAGGCCGGCTATTCTCCAGAGGTGATTCCCCACTCTTTCCTCACAGGGAATAATGGTTTCCACTTGTATAGGACCATCTAGTCTATAAAAAATGTTCACACACACTATGACATTTAAATTTTATAGTAACTCTAAAATCTAAACGAGAAAAGGAAGCTGAAGCTGTGAGATTCAGTGACTTTCCAAAGTTACAAAATCAAAAGAGTCAGAGCTAGGCAAAAATTCAAGTCTCTCTCTCTGTTATTTTTATTTACTTATTTTTAATTAATTTTTAGAGACAGGGTCTCACTCTGTCACCCAGGCTGGAGTGCAGTGGCTGATCATATAGCTCACTGCAGCCTCAACCTCCTGGGCCCAAGTGATCCTCCCACCTCAGTTTCTGAGTAGCTGGCATTACAGGCATAAGCCAGTGTTCCTGGTTTCTCTCTTTCATAGTGGTAAAAAATGCATAACATAAAATTTGCCATCTTGACCTTTTTCAGTATGCATTTCGGCAGTGTTAAGTATGTTCATGTTGTTGCAAAACAGATCTTCAGACATTTTTCACTTTGCAAACCCAAAACTTTATACCCCTTAAAAAACAACTCCCCTTTTTCCACTCTCCCCAGTTCCTGGCAACCACCATTCTACTGTAAGGGTGAAGAGGTGTGACACCTTTCCTCTTCCATCATAAGGGTCACTGCTGACACTCCTATAACACAAGACAGGTTAGCAAGAGAAAAGCATAACAAATTTATTTAATCAAAGTTTGACGTTACATGGGAGCCTTTAGAAATGAAGACCCAAAGACCCAGAAAAACTTCCCATTTTTAAGGCTTAAATTTGACAAAGAATAGACAGCCATGTAGAAATGTGATTGGACAGAAGGAGTATGACTAATGATAATAGACTAGGTGCGATGGGACTCAGCAAGACCTATCTGGTGAGATTTTTCTCAGCCTGTCTGTGTAGTATCCTTCCTTCCAGGTACAGGTCTTATAATCTATCAGACAAGATAGGACAGAGAATTTTTTTATGGCCAGCCTCTACACAGACAGGCAGGGAAAGGTTAGAGTAATATTTCTAGGTTTTATGGCTTGCTTTGGTGGAGAGGGATTCTAACTTCTATGACTTGCCTTGAGGAAGAGGAATTCTGTGGTTTCTATGACTTGGTTTAGTGGTGAAAGAGGGGTGAGAGACAGGAAAGCAGGAGAAGGTCAGAGAGAACTTGCTTCTGAGGCTGCTTCTGGCGTCTTCCAATCTCCTTTACTTCAAACTACTTAGCATGCCAAAATGCCTTACTTTGGGGTATCCTTTTCTGAGCTCCAACATTACTTTCTGCTTCTATGAAGTTGACCACTTTAGATACCTCGTATTAGTGGAATCATACAGCATTAGTCTTTTTACTTCATTTAGCATGATATATTCAAGGTTCATCCATATTGTGGCATGTGGCAAGATTTCCTTCCCTTTTAAGGTTGAATAATATTCCATTGCATGTATATACCACATTTTGTTTATTCATTCATCCATCCATCAATGAA